>NC_000002.12:22812785-22964300 GCF_000001405.40 Homo sapiens
TTTAACTACACACTTGTTTTCTAGTAAAGTCTAAAGTTATTCAATGGTTTTCTCCCTTCCAAAACTTGTCAAGAATTTTAGAATGCTTTAAAAATGCATTAGCACTCCCATTATGTTATTGCCATCTACATTTTTAGTTTCACCTTTTAAATACAAAAAATCTTTTAAATTTATAGACATAATTGTCGTGTGTGTGCAAGCATGCATTCACCTTTTTCCTCATTGCCATGCTCTGAGCTTCCATCTTCTCTACCTAAAGTGCTCATTGTAATAAATCTTATGGTCTTATTCTGTAAGTGATAAGCAGGCTTATCAAGGTAACAAAAATTACCTTTACACAACCATCCCACAGAAATGAAGATGTAGCTGAGTCAAAAGTTGAGGTTAACTGTGAGTTTCCTTCAGGATTTTAAGCATTTGATTTTTTCTTCTGGACATTGTTCTGGGACCTACATCTGCCCTCATTTAAACTACAATTTATCTGAAGGTCATCTGCCTTTTCTCTCTGCTAGCTTTTTGCATTTCTCTCTTTTTCTCTAATGACATATAATGTTGCTCCTATGTGTCAAGTTGTGGATTTTTTGTTTTTATTTATCCTGGATGGCATATGGCATGGATTTTTTGACCAAGAACTCAGAGTTTCTGAAAACATCAATCACACCTTCCATGTCTTCGTATATTGCTTCTCCACCAGCATGTCCATCTTTTCTTCCACAATTCCTACTAGACATATGGTGTGGCCTGTCAATCTGTACTCCACTCACTTAAGGAGTCCATTTCCTCCAATCTATTATGATCTTTAATTTTAATTTTTACAAATGCCAAGTGTATAAGCCAGGGTTCTCCAGAGAAACAGAACAATGAGGGGGGCTTTGAAAGAGATTTAAAAGAGATGCATTATAAGGAATTGGCTCATGTGACTACGAAGCTAAGACGTCCAAAACCTGCAGTGGGTGGCAAGCCAAAGATCTAAGACAGCCAATGATACTGTTCCAGTCCAAAGGGCAGCAAGTGGAGACCTGGGAGAGTCGATGGTTCCAATGAAGTTGAAGAGCAGTCTGCTGGAGAGTTTTCCTTTTGCTTGGGGAAGTCCGCTTTCATTCTCTTCAGGCTTTCAACTGATTTGATAAGGTCCACCCACATTAACGAGGGCAATCTCCTTCAGCCAAAATTCATCAAACTAAATTAATCTCATCCAAAAAATACCCTCCAAGTTGATACATGAAACTAACCATCATAAGCAAGATCTGAATTAGACTTTTTAAACATTTTTTTCTGTTTTACTTTCTTCATAATTCTTGTTCATTTTAATAGATGTTAGTCATTTTTTATCTTTTGACATCCCAAACACACCTATATTAATTATTTAAAATAACAAAAAGTTCATTTTATAAAAATGGATTGAGATTGGGATTATTAGCTATGTTCACCTTTTTAACATTTGACCCCTTCATGTTGTTTAGAGTTGTATTTGTAGCGTCATTTGAGGTGCACAGACCCCCTCTCTCTGTACACAACCCTCTCAGTGTAGAAAGTCTGGGATTGTCTCATGCCAGTTTCCATCCTAGGCTTGAAATAGCAGGCCTAGGCTTTGCTTCATAGTGATTCTGAGACTATGACAAATTCAGAAGGAGGCTTGGTGCCTTTCCTTGCTCATCCATTTTTTGTTTGTATGTTTTCTTTTTTCTCTTACCTCTTAGGCCTATAGCTTCCTCTAAAGCCATGGATCCAGCAGATTTTCTGCAAAAGATTTTTTTTCAGTCTTTCTTTCCTGGTTATGAAGGAGACCCTGCACGTGTCTCCTATCTCTGGCTGAATATGGAATAGTTTCTTCTTCACAGTTACTCCGCTGAGCTTAGCTTCTCTCTCCCACTTTTTGCTTTCTTATCGGCTAGAAGGACTATGGTCTCTAGCTATAAGAGGGTAACTTGAGACCAATAATCTAGCCAAGAAAAAAATGGTAAAAGCTAGAGAACATTTTTAAAACGTTATTTGGAGACTGGAGATATAATGAGGCCCCCTCGGGCCTGAGAAGCCAGATCCTAAAGAAAATGAGGCCCATTCAGGTGAAGCACAATTCTCAGGAAGCCTTGTCTACCCTTGGGGCTTTGCCTATTCTTGGTGTAAGACGTGAAGATGAAATGCTTGGCAGAGCCTCAGCAGTACAAGACAGAAAACCCGCAAAGATATTAAATACCTCATGAGGCTGAAGTGGTTTTTCTTTTTTACATGGAGTTTTGCAGGTGCCAAGGCAGTCAGAACCCGAGAAACCAAGGTCTGTGAGAAAAAAGAGGTGAAAGGCAGTAAACCTGATGCTGAGTGGTTGAGAGCTGAGCTTATCATCCTCCACATTCTCGATGTGCCAAGCCTTTTAGTTCTTTACTAGGGGAGGGGGGAGTCCTCGCATTGTAAGATGTTTAGCAGTATCCCTGGCCTCTACCCACCGATGCCAGGAGCAACCCACTCCCCAGCCCCTCTCTCCAGAGTTGTAAGAACCAAAAAGTGTCTTCAGACATCACCTAATGTCCTCTGAGGAGCAAAACCACTTTGGCTGAAAACCAAAGCTTAGACCCTTAAAGTATTTGCCAAATTCTTTTCTTTCTTTTTTTTTTTGGAGGCGGAGTCTCGCTCTGTAGCCCAGACTGGAGTGCAGTGGCGCGATTTCGGCTCACTGCAAGCTCCGCCTCCTGGGTTCGAGCCATTCTCCTGCCTCAGCCTCCCGAGTTGCTGGGACTACAGGCGCCCGCCACCACGCCTGGCTAAGTTTTTATGTTTTTAGTAGAGACGGGGTTTCACCGTGTTAGCCAGGATGGTCTCGATCTCCTGACATCATGATCTTTCCGCCTCGGCCTCCCAAAGTGCTGGGATTACAGGCGTGAGCCACCACGCCCAGCCCGTATTTGCCAAATTCTTAAGCTGTGCAGGATGAGAGGCTAAGAAAACAAACAGAAAAAGAGCTGGATAACAGAGTAGAATTTTCAAGTTACAAGGTACCGAGGTGAAAAAATTTAGAGTTTCCTGGGTGCAGGGAAAGATCCTAACAAACAATCCAGGCTCTAAACTGGTGCCTCTGGAGAGTAGTACACCTAGACTGGGATGATCCATTCTAGTCTGTGCCTGCCAACAATGGAAACCCAGCCGTTAATAAGCTCAGGCCCTGATTAGAGAGATCTGCTCTACCATAGCTGCCTGCCAGACAGCAAGGGGAATCGTACCTAGAGGAAGATAATGCCAGCCAGAAACCCTATAATGTTTTATACAGAATGTCCTGCATTCAATCAAAACTTACCTTCCACACCAAGTAAGAGGACCAAGGGAAAATAAAACAGATAATAAAATAGATCCATAGGCAAACCAAGTATTCGATTAATCAAATATGGATATTCAAATAACTATTATTCAACAAATCAGTTTTATAAGGTCAAGAAAGTAGATGGCAAGATTGTAGTTATAAATCTTAAATCTTCAATTAAGTATTCAAATATAACTTTTAGAACTAAAGGTATAACTGCAAATGAGAAATTAAAAGATGGCTTTAATTAACAGTAGACAGGACACAGCAAAAGAGAGACTGTTAAGCTGAAAGAAAAGTCAATAGAAAATATTCAGACTAAATCCTGGAGAACAAATGAGATAAAATATGCAGAAAAGAACATACCAATTGTATGCAACATGGCAAAGAGGGTCTAATTGTAACTGGAGCACAAAAAAGTAAAAGACAAAAAGTAGCATGAAAGCAATATTTTAAGCCTAAGAATTTTCTAAAATAGTCAAAGGCATCCAATTATATATTCATGAAGTTCTATAAACCCCAAGCAGATTAAACCAAAAGAAAGAAAATCCGGTGCATCAAAATAATTTTTGAAAACCAACAAAGAAAAATGAAATGTTTAAAGAATACAGAGCAAATAAGATATATTACCTTCCAAAGTAATATGAATATAACACTGCAAATTGATTCTTTAACAAAAGCAATAGAAGCCAAAAACAATTGAATGGCATTATTTAAATGCTGAAAGAAAAGTCCTATAATTCCCACCTGGAATCCTGTATCCCACAAAAATGTTCTTCAAAAGGAAAGACAAAATTAAAATATTTCCAAAGAAACAAAACCTAGGAAATCTGTTGTCAGTAAATGTAAACTAAAGTGAATACTGAAGGGAGGTTTTCAGTCTAAGGGCAAATGACCCCAGGTGAACAAAGTACAGAAGTATGAGAAAGAATGAAAAGTGATTGAAAAGGAAAATATGTACATTAATCTAAATATTAACAGTTCAAAACAATCGTAATAATAATCTCTCCAGGGAGCTTAAATATTTGTTGAATTAGAATGTGAGAAAACAGGAACATAAAAGATGGGAAGGGAATCAATGGAGTTTAAAGTGTTTTAAGTTCCAAGATCAGCCTGGGAAGTGGTAAAACTAGGAATTAATAGTGGGCTTTGTATTAGTTTCCTATTTCTGCTGTAACAAATTACCACAAACTTAGTGGCTTAAAACGATATAAATTCATTATCTTACAATTCTGTAACTCAGAGATCCAAAATGAGTCAGCAGAGCTGCATTCCTCCTCAAGGCTCCAGGGACAATCACTTCCTTGTCTTCTCCAGCTTCTAGAGGCTGGTCCACATTCCTTGGCTCGGGCACCATATCACTGTTACCATTGCTGCTTCCGTCGTCACACCTCCTTCCTCTGACTCTGACACTCTTGCTACCCTCTTATAAGGACCTTTGTGATTAAGCTCCCATCTCAAGTTCCCTAATTTAATCACATCCACAAAATTTCTTTTGCCACATAAGAAAATGCATTCACATTTTCTAGAGGACATCATGCAGAAAATTTCAGTGGGAAGAGGCATTCATTATTCTGTCTATGACAGTGGGCTAGCTAGCCTCCCTAAATTCATAACTGTCCCACTTTCATCCTATTCCAACATCCCCCAAAGTCTCAAGCCATTACATTATCATATTTCCATTTCCACTGGCTGACTTATTCCTTTGACTTGTTTCATACCCTCTTTTTCTCTTACTTTGATGGTTGTAGTGAACTTCTAACTTCCTTCAATTACATTCAGCATTTTTAGTCCAGGGAGTCCAGAGAGAGGCCATGCCAGGTGCTGACTGTGTGTTTACTCAAGATTCTCCCTACAGAGGGGTTATCTGGGGCATTTCAAATGAGAAGATTTGTATGAAGAAGTTTGGAGAATCAAATCAAGCCCTGAGTTCAGGATAACCAAATAGTTGGAATTATAAAAGGAAAAAATCAAATATTAACCTTGAGAAGAATACAAAATAAATGGAGCGAACAATGTGCCATACGTTTTTCAATACTGTGACTGAATAATGGGCCACCTTCTACAGCAGCTTTACTGTGCCTTGGTGGACAGAGGCTAGAGAATTAATTAAGTGCCACTGGGTCAAATAACCCCTTCCATTTTCTTCTGCAAAGGACCAAAAATCTCTACAATACGTATTTGCCTTTTTTACCCCAGAACCTGCTAGGGACACTTTAGTGCTTCCATAAAACCTGCAGTATCAAGCCAATGTCTTGGTTTCATATAAAGATGTTTCTTTGTATTGTCTCTATCTCTCTCTTCTATTGCTCCCCAACCATCCCCTGTACTTCCTGTGTATACAACTATGTGAAGTTCCTTAAAGACATCATGTTCTTTGCTTGTGCGTGTATCTGCACATGCTATTATCTCAGCTTGGAGGTTTTTTTTTTTCCTCTTCTGCCCAGGGATTTCCTCATCATCTTTCAGCATTCACTTCTTCTTTTATCCTTTTTTGATCTCTTCATGGAAAGATATGTGTTAGCATTTGCCACATAAAGATGTATATTTTTATTAAAATTTAACTTACCTAAAAAATTTGCAGATGCTAACTTGCCATGAAATTTTACAATTGTATATACCTGTGTAATCACCATACAAAAACAAGCTATAGAACATTTGAAAAAGTTATTTTACTCATCTCTTCAGTCAATAAAGCTGCAGCTTTTATGTCATTTTCTTACCCATTGTATCATTGAGGACAAGAATTATTTCTTATTAATCACTGTACTTTCAGTGTCCATCATAAGATTTAAGAAACAATAAGTATTCAAATACCATGTACTAAATACATGAACCAATTAAAAGATCTTAGCATAGGTAGTATTTTCACAAATAAAGAAAGGAAAGAAACATAAGTAGGAAAATGATATAAAAATGCATAAATATGGTAATGATATAACTGCCAATATAGTTTAAGTACAGAGTACAGACCATGTGCTTAAGGATGTGGAAACAGACTTTTGAAATTGTCTATGACTTAACAAGCCTCACTTTTACTCTTTCACTTACAATATTAAAAATAAAATACTTAGATTCAAATTTAACAAAAATGTGCA
The DNA here is from genome assembly GCF_000001405.40 of Homo sapiens. Classification (NCBI taxonomy): domain Eukaryota; kingdom Metazoa; phylum Chordata; class Mammalia; order Primates; family Hominidae; genus Homo; species Homo sapiens. Next base: position 22,819,176 of record NC_000002.12, read on the forward strand.
AACTATAAAACATTGTTCAGAGAATTTAAAGACCTCAAAAATGGAGAGTTATACCATAGATCAGAAGACTCAACGTTGTTAAGATGTCAATTCTTCCTAAATTGGTCTGGGGATTTTATTTTTTTTTTTGTAAAAATTGACACACGGATTCTAACATTTATGTAAAAATGCAAAGAACTCAGAATAGCCGAACAGTTTTGAAAATGCCTCATTTCAAAACTGTTTGGCTATTATGCTACCTGATTTCAAAAATTCATATAAAGCTACAGTAATCAAGAGAGTATGGTATGGCGTGAAGATATATACATATGCATATATCTTTTTTATTGAAATATAAGTTGAGGAAAATCTGCATATGTATACATCTGTGTATTTTCACAATATATAAATATATATTCATATGTATATATACACAGATGCTCAACTTATATTTTAATAAATCTATAATAAGTCAAAAAATATCTTGTCAAAAATGTATTCAGTGTCCCTGCCACGAACTTGAAAAATTGTAAGTCAAACCATCTTAGGTACAGGTGCTCCTTAACTTACAATGGGGTTATCTCCCAGCAAACCTCTTGAAAGTTGAAAAATTGTAAGTTGAACTATCCATCATAAGTTTGGTACAATCTGTGTGTGTCTATGTGTGTGTGAATAATCACTGGAAAATAATAGAGTCCAGAAATGAAGTGACAGATATATGGTCAATAAATTTTTAACAAAGATGCTGATATGGCTTGGCTCTGTGTCCCCATTCAAATTTTGTCTTGAATTGTACTCCCATAATTCCTGCATGTTGTGGGAGAGACCTGGTGGGAGATAATTGAATCATGGGGGCAGTTTCCCCCATACTGTTCTTGTGGTAGTGAATAAGTCTCAGGAGATCAATGGTTTTATCAGGGGTTTCCACTTTTAAGTCTTCCTGATTCTCCCTCTGCCTGCTGCCATCCACGTAAGACAGCACTTGCTCTTACTTGCCTTCTGCCATGATTGTGAGGCTTCCCCAGCCACCTGGAACTGGAAGTCCAATTAAACCTCTTTCATTTGTAAAATGGCTAGTCTTGAGTATGTATTTATCAGCAGCGTGAAAACAGACTAATACAGATGCCAAGATAATTCAGGCTGGAAAAAGTAATCTTTTCAACAAATGACTCTGGTACAATTGAATATGTGAAAATGAAACTTGACTCTCATTTCACCTCATATGGAAAAATAACACGCAGAACAAAAAACTTTATAATCTTGGTGGGCAAAGATTCCTTAGACAGCACACTGTGATATGGTGAAATGTATTCTTGGGGTCTTCATCCTTTCCTATTTCCTAGCATACAATTCCTAAAATCCTTGGACTCTCTAAAGTGATTGATAAGTATGTTTTTGAATGCTAATGCATTAAGTGATGGCTGGCTGCCCCTAGGTAGCTTCAAGATGGGGGCTGGTTGCTGGAAAGACAAAGGCAGAATTAGAAGGCTACAAGGAGGGGAGAGGGGCTGAAGGTTAAGCTCATCATCAATGGCCAGTGATATAATCAATACTACCTACTTCATAGAGCTTCCATGAAAACACAAAAGCACTGGGTTCTAGGAGCTTCTGGATAACGGAACACATGGAAGTCCCTGGAAGGTGGTGCCCTCAGAGAGGACATGAAAGCTCAATGTCCCTTCCTGCACGCTGCGCCCTACACATCACTTCCTTTGTAATGTCCTTTGTAATGCCTTTTGTAATAAGCCAGTAAACATAAGTAAGTGTTTCCCTGAGCTCTGTGAGCCTCTCCTCAAATTAATTGCACCGAAGGAAGAGGTTGTGGGAACCCTATCTACAGCCTGACCATCAGAGGCACAGGTAAAACAATCTGGGGCTTGAGATTGGCCTCAGAAGTTGGGGGCAGTCTTGTGGGACTTAACCCTCAACTTGTGTGATCTGACGCTATCTCCAGTAGACAGTGGCAGAACCAAATTGAATTAGAGGACCCACAGGTGGTATTCGCCAAAAAATCTTCTGCAGAATTGGTTGATTGAATGTTGGTGGAGAAAAGTTCCCACCCACTTCTTGGTGACCAGAGGTTATAGAAGTCTTCTGTTGATTGTTGTGGTATAATAATTTGTATTTATTCCACACACACAAAAATCACAAACTATAAAAAATTATAAATTGAACTTCATAAAAATTAAAAACTTTTGCTCCTCAAAAAACATTTTTCAAGAAAATAAAAAGACAAGTCATTTTCAAAACATATACCTCATATAGGATTGTATACATAATATATAAAGAATTCTTCAATAATAATAATTCATTTGTATATATGGGCAAAAGATTTGGACACTATGCCAAAGAAAACATATGAATGATAAACAAACACATGAAAAGTTTCTGAATGTCATTAGTCATCAGGGAAACGTAAGTTAAAACTGCAATGAGGTATCACTACATACCCACTAAGATAGCTAAAATTAGAAAGACTAACAACAGCAGGTGTGAGGGAAGATGTAGAGAAACTACAACTTTCATACATTGCTGATAGGAATGCAAGTTATACAATTTTTTGGAAAACAACTTAGCAGTTCTCAGCTGTTTAAACATATTCTCAGCATATAACTCAGCAGGTTTATTCTTAGGTATTTAAACGTATAAGTAAATACATATGACCACACAAAGGCATCTACTAGAATGTTTGCAGCAATGTATTTCTTAATAACTGATAATTGGAAACAACCTATATATCCACCTACTGGTGAATGAAGATATTATATTACATCCATGCCACTGAATACTTACTCAGAAATAAAAAGGAACAAGCTATACATGTGACAACTTGGATGAATCACAACACATTAAGTAAATGACACCAGATACAAAAGACTACTTACTGTTGGTTTCAATGTTTATGAAATTCTAGAAAAGCTGAAAGTATAGGGACAAGAAATACTGTATTTATCTGGGGTCCTGTGGGTGCTTTTGAGGGGGCAAGGCCAAAAGGAATAATTTGAGGATGATAAAAATATTCTATATCCTGATTGTGGTAGTGGTTAATGACGATAGATAGTTGCAAAAACTGATTGAATTGTATACTTTGATATGAATAAATTTATTATATGTAAGTTGTATCTTAACTTTAAAATAGAAAGGAAGTAGGTATGGATTGATACTGTAGGGCCCAATTCAGTCTTAAAATCTGGACAGGTAAGCTTGAACTTAGTAGGATGAACAATATCAATAAAATATTAGTATGTTTTCGTGTCATAAATAAATAATAATCCTGAAGTTTACAAGGAACTTAGATTGTTTACTGCACCACTGTTTTCTTCTTTTCCTAGTTGTGAAGAGTCCTAGGAAATTCTTTAGTAAAAGAAAATATAAAAATATATTCAGTCTGCTCATTTAGCAAAGCTCAGTTTGGTAATGCAAGGGGATGAAGCAGGTGGAGGTAATTTCCCAAAGCTAGTAATGAGTTAATGGATTCCCTTAAAGATTATGTAAATTGGCTAAATTTTACATCTGACATTCAAATCAAACAAGAGCAGAAGGAAAATGCACCTGCAAATATAATAAATATCCTTTTACCTAGTAGTCTGAAACAAAAATTAAAATTGTTTCTGAAATAAAAACAAAAATTAAATGGAAAACTTCAGCCTCGTATATTACCCTTAAGAGAGTGTACCTGCTATAATATAATGGGGCATCTGATCATGCCAGATCAGATGCAAGCACAATTTGCAGGTGTACAGTTTCTCTCTTGAAAGAAGTTGTTAAACCATGAAGGGCATGTCAGAATCACTATCATGTTTTCAGAACACTAAGGAGTTCACCAGAGAGAAAGCAGCACATGCATATCAAATCAATTCAGCCTAGTGCACAATTTCATTAAATATTCAGCATTATGAGGAACTCCTTGTTTTACATATAGGATTTGACTCCCTTGGGGACTGAAGTGGTGTGAAATCCTTGTTATACAGCACCATTGGGATTGGAGGGCTTTGGATAATTCTTGTTGACACAAGTACTGTGCAAATGACACGTGGATCAGCAACTGTCAAGAAATTAGATTACATTAAACAGTGAATCTTGATGAGAATCTTATACAAAATCCTAGTAAATGACCAGGAGAAATTATTTACTGCATATATAATAGATAAAGTTTCTAATATAGTATGATATGAGTAAATGACAGAGACAATGAAATTCCAAGAAATGATGCATATGTAGTAAACAATATCCTACCTTACTGATAATCTAGTAAATGCAAATTAAAATAAAAATTAAATATTGCTTGTTATCTATAAAATTAACCCAGAAGAAAAGTTGAGGCTTGAAGTGTCCATTGTTGCCAATGATGGGGAAAATGTTGGTGAAGGTAACAATAATTGTCATCATCTTTTTGGATGACATTTTGGAAGGATCTCTCCAAAAGTTAAAGAACATTTACTTGGACCCATCAATTCTTTTCTACTGATTAGCTCTACATAAATACATAGTCAGTATTTATGTAGTACTAATATATTTATTGTAGTAATGTTTGAAAAGGAAAATATTAGAAATCATTTCAATAGCCATTGGCAAACAAGTGGAAATTTAATTCATGCTCCACCCACTACAGAATGCTTTGCTGCTTTATAAAAACAACTTAATATATCTACATGTAGGGCTATTGAATGAGGCCAAACGTATATTTTTAAGTAGAAAGACCAAGGCATAATCCCATTTTCTAAATTTTATCTTTATATAATTCTGTCAAATATTTTACAATGATCATATTTTACTTGTATATTGCTTTAAATAAAAAGAAAAAAAATTACCTAATATGATTTGACCAAAATATTATTTTCTTGCTTTTTGTCGTTTTTATTTTCTTTTTCCTTTGTATCTTAGTCCCTTTATTTTTTTTCTCTTGGTCTCTTCAACACTTATTGGATTATTTCTACAAACTAATTATCAATCCAGGTACCAAAGACACAAACATTATTGCCCACTATAATTAGTGCACAATTACAATAGATTATAATAACACCATAGTAGAAATATGTGCAAAGCCTGATGTGAGCACAGGAATACGAGTGCTTCAATTTGAGAAGAAGGGGGAAGGAATCAGAGAGGAGGCAACAAGGACATAAAAGGGAAGTAGAAATTTTCCAGATAGGTAATTAGACAAAGGTGATTCATGCAGAATGAACCAGAACTTAGTATAAAACAATCAAGGCTTCCTGATTCTATTTGAGAAAAGATAAAAAAGAAAGAAGTTAATTATCTATAAAATATTCATTTGAATGCTACCCAAATTCTTTACACACAGTGCTAAGATATCTGACCCTACTGTTGGCAAGCATGTGAATCCTTTAAATTTTCTATTTTCCACTGTAAAAATCCTAAGTGGCCAGAATGCTTTCTTTTCCCTCAGGGTAATGGAGATGCCTCAGGTTGTGTTTTTATCTATACATGTTTGTGAAAATTTTCACTACCCTTTCAAAATATACAAGCCATCATGAAACCAGAGGTCAGCACAGCTTAATAGCAGGGCCATCAAGTCTGGAGTGTCTCTAATTCATAATTCATGCCTGTCAGAGTGACTACATGATGTCAAAAAATATAGGAGAAGAATCCCATGAGGAATTCCTTATTCCTCCTATGTTCCAATGAGAAAAAGAGTCGTTAAGCAATTTGTCCAACATTCACGGTCTGAAATGAACTATCCTTGTGGGTTCCTGCGCTGCTCTGGCTCCATCACAGCTTCTTTGATAATCAAAGTGATGTGTTTTCCTGCTTGTGAGGACAGGAACCATCTCCAAGATGGTTAATAGCGCAAAGGGGGAAAATAATTCTCTAATAAGTCAACAAAGTATCATAGCATCAAATGACCATGGGTCACTAACAAAGCCTACATTTACGTTACAATAGTTTTAAAATCATTTTTCTGCTCAAATGTAGATGCTAGCTTTATATTAAACATGAGTTTATAAAAATTAGCTCTGTGAGCAAGTGCTATGGTTTCGATATGGTTTGTTCGTCCCCACCAAGTTTCATGTTGAATTTTCATCTCCAGTGTGGCAGTGTTGAGAAGTGGGGCCTGTTGGGAGGTGTTTGGGCCATGGGCGCAGATCTCTCATTAGCAGATTAATGCCCTCCCTCAGAGATGAGTATATTCTCACTCCATTAGTTCCTGGGCAAGAGCTTGTTGTTAAAAAGGGCCTGCACCTCCCCGCTCTTTCTTGTTTGTCTCCCACTATGTGATCTCTGTACACATCAGCTCCCTTTCCCCTGCTGCCATGAGTGGAAGCAACCTGAGGCCTCCACCAGAAGATGAGCAGATTGCTATACCATGCTTTTTCATATAGACTACAGAACTGTGAGACACAAATAAACATCTTATTTTTTCTTTTCTTTTTTTTTTTTTTTTTTTGAGACAGAGTCTTGCCCTGTCGCCAGGCTGGAGTGCAGTGGCGCCATCTCAGCTCACTGCAACCTCTGCCTCCCAAGTTCAAGCAATTCTTCCACCTCAGCATCCCGAGTAGCTGGGACCACAGGTGTGTGCCACCACACCCAGCTAATTTTTATATTTTTAGTAGAGATGGGATTTCACCATGTTGGCCAGGATGGTCTCGATCTCCTGACCTCGTGATCCATCTACCTCGGCCTCCCAAAGTGCTGGGATTACAGGCATGAGCCACAGCACCCAGCCAACATCTTGTCTTTATAAATTACCTAGCCTCAGGCATTCTTTTGTAGTAACCCAAAACAGGCTAAGACAGCCAGAAATAATATTATTAAGGAAAATAGAAGTTTCTTTTTACCCTGAAAAAAGAAAGAAATATTAATTAGCCCTGCTCTTCTCCATAACACTTTGAAGGTACCTCTCTTTCAGCATCTGCCATACTCAACTTTAAATTACACTTACTTTTGTACTCTATGTTTCTTGTCAATGAGATCTGTTTGATTATCTTTCTAACCTCATATTGCTTAGCATCACGTCTTACTTGATGTACAATAATTATTTATGGAGTGAATTAATGGAAGATTGCATATCAATGAATTAAACAAACTAGACTTTTATATTAGATATGTGTACAGCAGGCTTTGAAGAGCTCAAACATGCTTGTTGACTTTTGAAGAGAATTATGTTTTTCTGTAATAAAATAAACACAGTATTCATCTGGAATATCAAACTAAGCCTACATCAAAAGGACATGAAAAAACCTGGGGCAGTACAAGAACACATACTCACAATCATCTCAAGAAAAGAGAAAAGGATGAGAAAATGTCTGATATCCAGGGGGAGAAAATGGGGAATTATTTTGAGCAAATATTTTAACACATGTTAAGCATTTATTTTGTGGTCTACAATACAAAAAATTAGGGCTCCATATATTTTAGGAAAATGATAGTCTCACCTTTCAATTTTTGTAGAATTCACTACATTTTCAAGATCTCTGGTGTAATGTGTGAAAAGCTAACGTAGAAGGACCAAGAGACAGTAACTATTTATGGGTCAAGCTTTACCTTGCTAAATATGGGGACTGGCTGAAAATCTGCAAGCAGCCACTCTAGAAAAAGGCTTAAGAAATAGAACTCTTAATCTATTTGTACTTCTCCCTTGCCAGATGGGGTCCCTGCCTGGACAGTGAAAATGGGGGGTGGAGCAGCAGTGGGGCTGGCATTTTGAATGATGTGCCTCTAGGTCACTAGATCACAATCTGCTCAAAGTTGTGTTGCCAGGAAGATGACACTGCCATTTGACATCCCAATAATTTCCTTGGTAACATATGCAATCAGTTCACAACCCAGCCCCAGCACAGTTGGCCAGAGTTGGGGAAATGGGTGGGGACTTGTTGGCACTCCCAAGAAGACAGGTGGAGAAGCTGAGGATTAAGCTGTTTGCTCAGCCAGCAAAGAGAGAGATGTGTCAGAAGCTTCTTCAGCCCTTTTCACACTGCGTTAAATATATTTCCTATTAAAAAGCCCTAGCCTGACTATATAATAATGATAACTCCAACTGCATAATAATGAGTTAATTATTTTTTGTCTGTCTCTATCCAACCAGATAGGAAACTCCTTGAAGGTAGAATATTGATTTATTTTTATCTTTCTCCAAGGAAGACTTCTGTGTTTAGATACTGTTTGAATAACAGAATGTGCATAAATGTTCTTTAGAAACTATAACATGCTGTTCAAATGCTTTTGCTTATTTAGAAAGGAATTAAAGCAAAAAGAAACAAAAGCAAGTTTTAAATTAAAAAATAAACACAGAGTTTCAGGATATCAGTGTCACACCCTAGAAGCAAAGTTTTACTTACACTCCATAATAATTCTTAACATCGTCATTTCTCTAAGGGCCCTCTTTTATCTTCTTTTTTTTAATAAAAATTGAGTGTGCATTAGTGCACTTGAGTTCTCTTTGAATGCATCTAGAATACAAGTGCAGTCATCAGGTAACCATGAAATATGAAATGGAAAAAAGCTAATGGTGCATTGTTATTACCATGGATGAATCCCAAGATGTGGAGCAGTTCACAGCACAATGCATAAGCATAGGATTTAAAGGATCACACCTGGCTTTATGGAGCTGCAAGTCCATTAGAGTAATTCAAGTCTTCAAAAAGCAGAAATGTAGAATGGGGCCAGTGTACCCAGGCAAGGTGAAGCATGGAAGCAGCATTGTACTTTTGCTTCTATTAGAAAGCATGGGCAAAGCTGGGGCCCATCAGGACATATCCAGGATTTAGTGGCCTCCTAAATGGTCCAGGAAAACACCTGGCAAACAAAGAATATACTGGACATGCTCTGAATGCCCACCTAAGTCAGCTGAGTAAGCAATGGGGAGCTGCCCACAGGTCTTGAGAGATGGGAAAAGAATTGAAACTGTAGTGGTAGCTTCACAAGCAGCAAATGGAAGGATTCAACAGGCAAGGCTCTTGGCAACCTATCTGAACTACTGGTTAAAAAGTAAGGGAGGGGGCCATAGTAGCAGGTGCCTGTAATCCCAGCTGCTCAGGAGGCTGAGGCAGGAGAATTGCTTGAACCCAGGAGGTGGAGGTTGCAGTGAGCCGAGATCGTGCCATTGCATTCCACCCTGGTTGACCAGAGCAAAACTCCATCAAAAAAGAAAAAAAAAAAGAAGAGAGAGAGAGAAAGGAAAGGAAAGGAAAGGAAAATAAAAGAAAAAGTAAGTGTTGAAGCAGAGAAGAGGAAAGTTTGGAAAGAGCAAAGAATGCGGAAGAACCATGAGGAAAATTTAAGCAGATACAGGGATCCAATCAATATTCCTCAGGGTTGGGCTTTATGGGCATGAGTTTGAAATCTAGGAAATCAAGAGTAAGCAGGCTTCTACATAGACCGAGGAAATAAAAGAGAGGGAAGCAACCTTCAATTAAGAAAAAATGCAAATGGGAGGTTTGAGTCCAGGGGGCTAGCGGGGGATGCACTTGGAAGATACGGGAAATGGAGAACAGGGGAGCTGCAATCCACGGATACTGTGAGCTAAGTCTTTGAGAGGTAAGTATGGCTGAAGTAGACAGCTTCAGAGGCTGAGAAAGAAAGCTTTAGGACTGAGAAAAGAGTAGAATTGGCTAGGCCCTCACTGAGGACTTAGATATAAGCATGTGTAATAATTTAAAATCATTTTAACCATAGCTAACATTTACTGAATTTTGCCTACATGCTAGTCACTGCACTAAGTACTTTCCATGGATTGATCTTACTTAATTCTCAACACAGCCCTAACTACTCTTATTTTCATTTTATAGATGAAGAAATGAGGCAAAGTGTGGTTCAGTAACTTCCGCACAGCCACCTACCTTCTGAATCAGGATTCAGCCTAGGACGGTGTCATTTCCTTTTTCTTTATGACAGAGTGTAGCTTTTGACCTGAGACAGAAGAGTCGAGGGCATCTAGAACACATGAAACTTTCTTGCTAGATGTAAGAACTTGAGGAGCTGGAGAAGTTTAAAGCATTTGCAATCATTAATTTCAAGCTTTCCTAGGAGAATTGTTGTAACATACATCCAGATTCAACTGATTTTCTCACCGCCACTCTTTCCGCCTGATGTAAGCCATGATCATCTTTCTCCTGGGTTATTGCAATTGTCTCTCAGCTTCCTCCCTTACCCTCATATTGTCTATTCTTATCTCAGCAGCCACAGTGATTCCTTTAAAATGAAAGTCAGATTATGTTACTCTTTGTCTAAAAACCCATCCAGAGTCTTCATATCTCACTTGCAGTAAAAGCCCAAGCCCTTATCTATGAGTCTACGAGACCATATGTATTTAGCTTTCTACACAGCCTCATCTCCAGCCTTGCTCCTTCTTGCTCTCTGCCCTGCCACAGTCACACTCATACCATTCCCAAACCCTTTGTACTTGCTGTTCTCTCTGCCAGGAACGCCCTTCCCCCAGACATCCACATGAGTTCACACTCACTTCCTTCAAGTTTCGGATCAATTATCAACTGGATCAGAAAAGGAAGTCAGAGTTTCCTTGATCACTAAAAATAAAATGGCACCCCCTCCTGGCACCCCCACCACCCTGTTACTACCTTGCTTTTCTCTGGAGTGCTCATCCCTGTCTGAGCTTCTAATTATTTATTGTCTGCCTCCACTCCATAAGCATGAGTTTCATCACGACTTTTTCTGCACCAATACATCTCCCATGCTGGTAACAGTGCCTCACGTGGGGTCGATAAATACTTGCTTAATGAATCAATGCAAAACAGGTTTTGCCTTAGTGTTAGCATATCTTTGATGGTTTATTATGAATAATGAAAAGTCTAGCAAATTGCTGTGAGAAAAGGAAGCAGGACCTCTGGTGGGAAAAGCAGAGAAGAGGAGTCTAAGTCAGGAAACTGAAGGACAGCAACAGATGGAGCAGGCCGATGAGCAAAAAAGGAGATGCTAAAATACTTGTATTCCATTATGAGAAGCCGAGAGTATAACTCTCAGGAACAATGAACAACACTCTCTGAAGTCTGTTCCTTCTGCTATTGACGTATGAAAGCCTAGGGACACACTTTCCAAGAAAATCCTTATAACCCATCACTGTCTAATCAATTGGAGCTCTTGAGTTGAGGAAGGTGATAGGAGCCTGAATGTCCCAGGATTAGAAGCCATCCAATTAGATTGCCAAGTACTCTGGAAGAGCCTGATGGCCACGGCACAGGCACTTATATCGATGAAGCTCATTATTTCCAGGTGGGTGGGGGAATGCACTTCTTTAAATCACTGCCTTACTTCTGAGAATCTAGTCACTTATTTCAAATCTCTTTTAGTAAAGGACATCAACACATACTGTTTAAGACAAAGTTTTCACAAAGGTACCTCTGACAACTTGGAGGTAATTTTTAGATCAAATATAATATGGTTAAATATGTCTACTGTTGAAGTCCAATTTAAATCCATCAAAAACAGCATCTTTTTAAAAAATACCAGGTGTGCTTTTTATGGGTTTCCTTTTACTAGAAGGCCCTGCTATTTTAGGTGAATCTCATTTTAGAGGTGTTGATTGTTTACAGATGCTCAGGAAGATACAACAGAAAAGTTTTTAGACGTTCTTAAGACAGTTTTAAAAGTAAGAATAAAAGACTTAAAACAACATAAAGAGACAGAGTCTGATAAAGTCAAAGTCTGGAGTAGCTCAGTCTTTTTAAAACTGGATCATAGGCTGGGCGTGGTGGCTTATGCCTGTAATACCAGCACTTTGGGAGGCGGGCGGATCATGAAATCAGGAGTTCGAGACCAGCCTGGGCAACAAGGTGAAACCCCATCTCTACTAAAAATACAAAAATTAACCAGGCACGGTGGCGTATGCCTGTAATCCCAGCTACTCGGGAGGCTGAGGCAGGAGAATCACTTGAGCCTGGGAGGCGGAGTTTGCAGTGAGCCGAAATTGCACCATTGCACACCAGCCTGTGCGACAGAGTGAGACTCCGTCCCCCACCCCCCCCCAAAAAAATGGATCATGGACTCAAAGTTTGAAAGCTTGTTGCTCAATGTCTTCTTTGGCAAATGATCTAATCTCTCTAAGTTTCCATTTCTCCATCTGTGAAAATGAGAAGTGGCTACCCACTTAAGAGAGCATTTGCAAGTAGTGAATGAGACAGAGTAGATAAAGCGCAAGGCCACATCAGGACAACCACTCAGTGGGAGATGGTGCCCATTGCCTGTTCCTGCTGCTACTGCACATCTTCTCCAGTCCTTGCTCTGCCTACTTCAGTTTCACCGAAACTATGGTAACAAGACCCAAGCAGCAAGCATTTAATAGCCAACTACCCAATGAAAGAATACTTCAGTTCTTTGCTCTCCAGTTTGGTTACTTACTCATATAAGACACTGGCTGCTACTATTTACAATAGCAAAGACTTGGAACCAACCCAAATGCCCATCAATGACAGACTGGATAAAGAAAATGTGGCATATATACACCCTGGAATACTATGCAGCCATAAACAAGGATTAGTTCATGTCCTTTGCAGGGACATGGATGAAGCTGGAAACCATCATTCTCAGCAAATTAACACAGGAACAGAAAACCAAACACTGCATGTTCTCACTCATAAGTGGGAGTTGAACATGAGAACACATGGACACAGGGAGGGGAACATCATGCACTGGGTCCTGTAAGGGGGTGGGGGCTAGGGGAGGGAGAGCATTAGGACAAATGCCTGATGCATGCGGGGCTTAAAACCTAAATGATGGGTTGATAGGTGCAGCAAACCACCATGGCACGTGTGTACCTATATAACAAAGCTGCACGTTCTGCACATGTATCCTAGAACTTAAAGTAAAATAAAAAATAAAAAAGGCCGGGTGTGGTGGCTCAGCAGATCATGAGGTCAGGAGATCGAGACCATCCTACCCAACATGATGAAACCCCACCTCTACTAAAAATACAAAAATTAGCTGGGTGTGGTGGCACGTGCCTGTAGTTCCAGCTACTCAGGAGGCTGAGGAAGGAGAATTGCTTGAACCTGGGAGGCGGAGGTTGCAGTGAGCTGAGATCATGCCACAGCACTCCAGCCTGGTGACAGAGTGAGACTTCTTCTCAAAAATAAATAAATAAATAAATATACTGAAATAAAATTTTTAAAAAGGAAGACACTGGCTGCTTTAAGAATTGAGTGAACCCTTTTGATGCTACAAAGAACTTGCTTCACAGTTTTGTGTTTCCAAGTATGCCTTGGCGATCCCAAAGATACGGGTATTTCTCTACAAAGCTGCCCCATCCATAATTCCTCTACAGAAGTAAACAGCTGCAGACAACCTTGGCAACAATTCTGTTTTCCATTTTTCATTTGTTTCTGGTATCCATTACATCCTCTGAACATACACTATCTTTTTCAGTTTAAATAAAACAGGTGGTAAAACTATAGCTACATGTAGCTTGAAAGAAAAAAAAAATGAATCTGAAACCATTTAAACATTTTTAATTTTATAAAACTTAACACATTAATGATATGTAATTTAACTTAGGCAAAATGGGCCGCTAGATTCTCATATTTTGAATAATCTTTCTCCTTTATTAAAAACATTAATAGGCCAGGCACGGTGGCTCACACCTGTAATCCCAGCACTTTGGGAGGCCAAGGTGGGTGGATCACAAGGTCAGGAGTTCGAGACCAGCCTGGCCAATATTGTGAAACCCCATCTCTACTAAAAATACAACAATTAGCTGGGCGTGGTGGTGGGCACCTGTAGCCCCAGCTACTCGGGAGGCTGAGGCAGGAGAATTGTTTGAACCCAGGAGGTGGAGGTTGCAGTGAGCTGAGATCACACCACTGCGCTCCAACCTTGGAAATAGAGCAAGACTCTGTCTCAAAAAGAGAGGAAAAAAAGAAAATTAATAAAGTGAGAGAATGAAGGCTAAATCTTTCTTTTTCTTCCAAAATTGCCACTGTGCTGCAATTGAAATTTGTTTGAAAATAAAATCAATCAATCCAAGCTTTATTAAGGACAAGTCAGACTTCTCACAAGACAGATGATTGCATGCAGGTGGAGGGTGGATGACACAAGCCTGACCCAGGGAGGACTGGTCTTTAGAAACCCTGACTGCAGAGGTCAGAGGCTCAGAAAATGGAACACTTGGCTCTCTGATACCCTCCCTAGTGCTTTGTCATCTCAGCGTCTTTCATTTTCTTGGCAAATGTTGGTAGCATATCACAAAGTCTTTTTAACACTTCTTCATTCCTTAGTATTTCAGTTTCAAGATCATTAATAAAACAGCAGCTTGAGAAGGCAGCACTCCAGGCAATCCACTCTGATAGCAGGTAGGGTGGCTGCATGCTTTTCACAGCCATTAGCATAGTTGAAGTTGAATTTCATAAATAGGGTATAAACTTAAAGGAAAGATAAGTAGAAATAAGCACTGTTTCCTTTTCCCCTATTAGATGTTAAAGAAAAAAATTAATTTATAAAGTTTTCAGTTACTTATATTTTCATTAAAGTTTGCTTTCTTGTTATAAAAGCAATTATACTCATATTAGAAACATTGAGAAAATATGGAAAATTATAGACGAAATTAGAACATTTCTTAGTTCCCTAAGTACCTTTTCTTCATATTTTTAATATGTATAATTTTTACGTTTTTTAGCTTTATGCCTCATATATGCTATAATTTTGCATCCTGTTTTTCTCACTTAATGTTACTGTATTTCTCCCTTTATTTTTTGCTCGACCTGACCTATCTGGTATGTGATATTTCTGTAACACAGAGAGGCTCTCAATTGATTGAATTAATTATTGAATTTCCTCTCAAAACAGGGAGCTCACTCACAATTAGAGTTTGTTTTTTTATTCATCCTTAAGTTTTTCTGAGCTCACATGAACACTCTCCTGTGAATTGCCTTCAAAAACAGCCCTAGATGGAGATACCTGATGTCATCAGAACTCATGTTACATCTGGGATGCCAGCCCCAGATGATAGGTGTGAGTCAACTGTTTCAGCCTCTGCTAAAATTGAAGTATGTTTGGAAGTTAAATCAATCAATCCAACTTTGTCAAAGGTAAACCATGCCTCCCTGGAAATGAAGCTAAATGCTCAATGGCTTTTCAGCCATTCTTGTGCCATTCGTGGTTACAAATGTTTGGTTTCTATTCAAGCCAATGGAAATGCTTCCCAAACACCATTATTATCTTCCTCATTCTGGAACCCATTGCTTAATAACATATGGAAAATTCCGAAGTCTTCTAGCTATAGTAATATTTGAGATAACAGATATATCATTCTATTAGATACTGATATTTAATCTATTCAGTACTATATTAGTGCTTTAGATATTAATATCATTCTACTTGGTTTCTGAGACACCTTCTTACTTGCTGCTCTTCTTCCTCACAAATACTCCTTCTGAGTCTCCTTTAGTGGTTCCTCCTCATTTTCCCACCCTCTACATTTGGAGTTCCTTGGGGCTCAGACATTAAACCTCTCTTTTATCTACCCACTCTTCTTGGTGAACCCATTTAACCTCTTGACTCTAAGAACCTCCAATAGGTTGACAGTTCCATGTGTCTCCAGTCCTGAACTTCAGGCTACAATATCTAGCTGCTGAACTGCAAATCCAACATCATCATCTGAATGTCTAACTGGCCTTTTAAATTCACCTGCTCCAACTGCTGTTGAACCCCTGGTGCCCACATAGCTTGCTCTCTTGCTCTCACTCCCTTCAGGTAAGTATTCTAAACATGGACTTACTAGAAAGATCTTCCCTCTAAGGAGTAAATCTCTTTCTAACCTCTATACCCCTCTGCCCCTTACCCTACTTTGTTGTTCTGCATAGCACTTTTTATTATTTGACACATTCTATATCACTTGTTTACTTAATATTTCTCTCATTTTCTTCCTAGACTATAAACTCTTCGGGGTAAGAGATATTCTCAGTTTTGTTCACTGCTATATCTTAGCACCTAGAACAATGTCAAGCCCCTAGTAGGCACTCAACAAATACTTTGAATAGATAAACAGATGAATGAATGAATGAATGAATGAACATGATATAGTCCAATAACATATTTATACAGAAATTCCAATTCTGCCCCAGTGAGACTAGTGTGACTGAGTTTTGTTTTCTTTTTGTCACCTTCAAAGAAATGTGTTCTTCATGAAACTGTTCAAGGTCAAGCAAAGGTGAAATATTTGTAGGAACTATTTTGCAAACCTGGATTTGTATTTTCTAAATAGGTTTCTGTTCAAGTTCTTTTCAAATCTAGACTTATCCCCATGGTTTAAGAACCAATATGTATCAGTGAAAGGTCTCAAAGAGACACCTCTGAGAAATATATAAGATTATTTGTTTCTTTAGGATGGTGGCAAATATAAAAACAATCCTTTTCAAATAGTCCTACTAATGACTCAGTTCATGAAATTACATCATTCTCTAGTTTGCCCAAAATCTAAATTCTAATATTGTCAGTTTTTAAATACCCTTAAGCAGGATAAAAGTCCCTGAAAGAAGAGAAAGAATAATAACAAACAATTTTATTAAGCACTTACTATGTATGAGATACAATTGCAGATAATTTGTATGTTTTAATTCATGTAATCTTCACAATACATTACAGCATACTTTGCCATGAGCATGGAAGTTTTGTGTTTATATTAAAAACTCTGCTTGAGACTCCTTGGAGTCTCATTCATTTAGCCTGTCTTCCAAACACGCTGACATCTAAGAATTTTAGGGACAATTTCTAACATTCTAGTTGTCAAGAACATTTTGAACCATACTTAACAGCAGAATGCCTCTAGTCAACCATTAATTATTCCAAATGCACTAATTTTTAAACCAGCTGTGTGATCCCAAAGTGCAACATATGAACTCTGAAATTTCTGTGTCTTTTTTCAACAAATAGGGCATGCTCCAAGGAGAAGACATTTACTGTTCAGCGCGTTTAGATGAAAACTGACATTTCTTATGGGAGTGCTTTAGCCTGGGCTAGCATGGTGTGAAACGAGACCACGAATTCATAATTTAACAGTTCAGGTTTCTGCAGAGGTGGTGACATGAACATTGAATGTTCACACTCAAGATCATTTGCAGCTCCATAAAGAGATGTCTTAGATGGAAAATAGAATAGTTCAGAAGAAATAATGACTCAGGAACACAGTTTTGAAGTGGGGAGAGAAAAAATTAGTATTGAATTTTTTTTTTTTAAAAAAAAAGAGCTAGTAGCAATTTTAGCCAGTCTCATCCTTTAGAATAAACATCTCTTCAGCAGCCAGTGTTTCAAGCACATAATAGCTTTAATTTTGTGCAGACTACATATTTACACTATAATAAAATGGAGAATGGCTGAGGGGGAGGATACTTACTGCTAGGGACATAATTATTAATCAATATGTCTGTCTAAAGCTGTCAGAATAAGTTACTTGAAGCCATGTAAAAATTCAAACTTGTCTGTGGTCATCCAAACGCTGTTCAAGACTATGTTTTACATTTGAAAGATGAATGAGTATAGCCAAATCCCAGTGTCTTAAAAAGAAATAAAAGGAGAAAAACCAACTCTTTAGATGTTCTCACAGAGAAGATACACAAACACATGTTCCTCAAACTCTCTCTGTCCATACTGTAGGGTAAGCAGCCTACCTCACAGCTCAAATATATTTTGGAGGTCTAGCCTGATTCGTCATCTAAAACCATGCCACCAGGAGGCAAATACAGAACACCATTTTCTTATAACCCAGTCCAAACTTTTCTCTTTATAAGACCCCCACCAAGGGAGGAGAATTTCTATTACAGCTGAACATACTGTGAAACTAATTTGGCTTTGCAGATTTACACATGACTCCATGGCCTGTAAATTGCCAACAAATCCCCTCTCCAGCCTCACATCTTTCCTGGGCTTTTAAGGAAAGCCCTCATGGTAGGGCAGAGGGGAGAAGCAAGGGACTTTCTCTATACATTTAGGTAGGAGGAAAGATTTGACCCCTAAATCTCCTTGAATCTCTCAGACTTGAAATCAAGTTCTCTTTAGTTCATCTTCACGGGAACTAGAATTTTTTTTGTCTTGCCCAGGAAGTTGACCCTTTTTACATATGAGATTTGGCAAATTCATTACTAATGTCTTTCAGATATACATTTTCTCCATATCCCAGTCCTAATAAGAAGAGACAAACCCCAAAGGAAACTTAAAATATTTAATGACTTTGACTTTTAAACATAACTGAGATTCAATAATAATGGCAAAAGATAATTCAATATACCAAAATACAAAACTAAAGCAACTATTTCTTTTATAAAGTTTAGCTTTAGTAAGCTCTCACAGATTTAGGACATTCGTTGTGAGAAGGGAAAAGGGATAGTGTAAAATCTGAGAGTATTTAAGTCATTCCATCATGTTTAAGTAGAGACAACTAATAAACACAATAATTTTACCTAGTAAAACTTAACAGTCTTGTGCTTATTTAAAACTACGTGAAATGCTCAAGAATACATATATTACTCTACTCATAGCACATAAAAGGATAAAAAGTACACATTTGGAAGAACTGACCTGAATTGACCAAATATAAATTGGTCAATATAAATTGATGAAAAATGGCCATGAAATTATTTTTTAATCATCTTTTTAAAAAAGTATTAGCTAAACTAAGAGGGAAGAGAGAGCAGGAATCAGGGCCAAAATCAAGTCATAAGAAAAATATGCTTAGGATCCCACTGATTGACACCTCTCTAGCTGACAAGATGTTACCACCATGAAAATGAAGTCTATGCTGTCTTTGCCTCTCTATGCCTCTGGGGCAGAAGCAACCAACTGGCAAAGCCTACTTCATAAGATTGCACCTTTAACAAAGGGCATGGGGAGGGAGCCTGGGGCTCCCTTTAAATTCCATAATGAGGCCTTGCACAAAGACTCATAAAAGTGGAAAACCCCATAATAGGAAGGGGACTAAGATATTTAGGCAGATTGTATATGACAAACATTCCCTATGTAAAATCAGCTGAAGTGTTTAGTGTGAAATTTCAGATTATTTAAAGAGAAGTTTCACTATGTTTAAGTAGAGACAAGTCATAAGAAGTGCCCTCTAGCAGAAATTTACCTGAACTTGCTTTAATGAGCATGGAAGATGCACTACTTACACAGAGATCATTCAGTCCAAGTCGTTGGACCTAATCTTGTTTCTAGTCAAAGTATACCTCCTTTTCATCTCAATTGTGATATTTGATTTGCAAGGCTAATTATTTCAAGATTTGTACAAAGAACAACATAAGTGGAATGACATTATTTACTGTGGATTTTAGTGATTTACAATGTGGGTGGTGTGTGTGTGTTTGTGTGGCAGAGAGAGAAAAAGAAGAGAGGATGAGAAAGGTATGGTTTTGGTTTGAGAAAAAATATATATGGTTAATAATTTCTTTATGATTAACACTAACAAGTCATACCTGTGTCAATGAATATAATTCTAAGGCAACTAACTAACTTTAAATTTTTTTCCACTAGAACATTTTGAGAATTATTAACAATACTAGACATTTTATTCTCTAATTCCTTTCTGGTGACTGTAATTTTTGTATCTGGATTCAACCTCAAACACTTACTTGATTTGGGGAAAACATTCATGAAAATTCTTAAGCCAAGGCTCTACATGCAGTTGAAACTGTAACTATTTGGTGCCTATAACAGTGATTAGTGGGAGAGGAAATAATGAGAGTGGTTAAAACTGGTAGGTATTTAAATATTGAAAAGTAGCATGTTAACCCTTCAGAAATGGCACTTCTAGATCTGCCACATGAATCCAGGATGTCATGCCCTAAATAACTTGACCCTTGGCCAGGCACAGTGGCTCACACCTGTAATCCCAGCACTTTGTGAGGCTGAAGTGGGCGGATCACTTGAGGTCAGGGGTTCGAGACCAGCCTGGCCAACATGGTGAAAACCTGTCTGTATTAAAAATACAAAATTAGCTGGACATGGTGGCACAAGCCTGTTAATCCCAGTTACTCGGGTAGCTGAGGAACGAGAATCGCTTGAACCCGGGAGGAAGAGGTTGCAGTGAGCCGAGATCGCACTACTGCACTCCAACCTGGGCAACAGAGCAAGACTCCGTCTCGAAAAAAAAAAAAAAAAAAACAAAAAACCTGACCTTAAAGCACCCTGACCCTTCCTGTACCATTGTTCTTGCTTAAATGTCTCCTTGTAACTAGAATCTGCTATCACCAATTATCAGTTACCAGGGACTATCCCACAATAGATACTTTTTCAGAATAAAATATGAGCAACATGCTTGCAGTTAAAACTTGACTCATAATCTCTCCTCTTCCCATTTCCCCTTCTCTTTTACTCTCTCCACCATAATATTAATTAATTTTATTGTTCCCCTTAACAGGTCTAGGATCTAGTTCTCCAAACCATCTTCTCTCAGGTCCTTATCTAAAAGAAAATCAGGTGAACTTCACTTTAGCAGACGATATATCACCTAAGAGGCTGCGTTTTATCACAGAGGTATCTTCCTAAATAAGGTAATTTGAGACTTTTAAACTCCGGTCTGATAGGATTTAGCAAGTTGAAAAAGAACATTTGTTATCAATGTTCTGTTTGATTAAGAAACTTATATTCATTAAAATGTGCTACTGTTTATGCATTTTAAGATATAGGCTCAATCTTGGAAACACAGAGACATATATATATATATAAATATATGGAGAAATATATATATATATATATGGAGAAACATACACATACATGTACATATCAATTTATATATTTCTATAACAGCTAGATACACAGAGAAACTATGAAGGTCTAAGCCTCAAAATCAGACAGATCTCAGATATAGACAGTGTGGTCTCTGTAGTATAGATATTATCATATGAATGTAGCCCTCAAATATTCAGCATAATGCCTTGTGATCCAACATGCCTTTGACCCTCTAATTTGACACTACATGGTTCTCATACTGCTTACATTTCTTTACTTAGCGAAGATCAAAGCTTACTGTTTTCATCCTGTTATATTCAATTGCAGTCAACAGTGATTTACTGAGCACCTATTATATGTCAATTTTTTTGGCAAATGACTGACGATAGAAATATTTAAAAGAAAAAGAAAACAAGGTCTCTACCTCCAAGGGCCGGCTATTAGAGAGAGAGAGAATGAAATAACAAATGACAGTGTGTGTATCAATATTATAGCAAAATACACCAAAAGGCCCCATGGCACCTTAGAGGAGAGACTAACATTGCTTGGAGTGGGGTTCAGAACTTGACTACTGATAAAGATCTGGGCAGCTGTGAAGAAAGGGTGCCTTTCTGAAGTGTTTACACTTCATCCTGCAGATTTTAGGCAGCAGAGTGGTGGGTCCAGACTTCCAGTTTAGAAATGTTATTCAGCAAACTGTGTGAAGGATGGATGAAGAGGGGGTAAGACAGAAAACGAGAAAAACAACTAGAAGCTGAGGAGACAGGACAGGAAAAAAGTAGTGGCCAGTGAGTATGGTGAGAGGAGAGAAGACCTGAGAATGACTCTGAGGTTTCTGAGTTTGCTAAGAGGGGAAGTAAATAAAAAAGTGAAAAGGGAGATGGTTCATTTGGGGACATATCTTGTTTCTTCTCTGGCCCGTGGTGTACAAGTATGCAGTGCAATAAGATATGAGGGGCTATATCTAAATCAAAAGAAATAAGAGTGAAATGAAGATGGTCAGACATATAATAGGAATGTTGGTTTTAGTGGACAAGTAGGGTCCTATTTTTCCTCTGGTCCTAAGAATGATTACATGAAAATGATTACATTTCTTGGGGCTGAATGATCTCTCTCAAAGTTTGTCTTTCTGAAAGATGTCAAACCAACAACTCTACATGTTCAGCAACTAGGTCAAACATAGAGACAGCTTGGCTTTACATAGCTCTAGCCTAGGCTGAGATATAACAAATTTTCTTTCCATTTACTCTAAATAATAATTATTTATCTCCATTTCAATTCAATTTAACTCATCTGAAGTTTACTGTCTACTTAGGATCACTTTTTGGGATAAAGGCAAGACAAAGAAAAATACAAAAAGAATATGCGATGGTAATAACAAAATAAAACTTATTTTACACTGAGTGCTTTTATGATGGTACCGTATATAACATTGACTGAAGTCATAATCTCTGTCTTCAGTGAGTTTAGGGCTGAGAGAGTGAGAAATGGGAAGATAATTTCTATTCTTTATATTTAAAATATTTTAAATAAAAAATTAATGTCCCCCTAAACTAAAAAAAAAGTAACTTTTAAATTTATAGCTCTCATGAAAAGCACAATAAACTCAAAAGCACGATCATAGATTGATGTGTATAGCTGGAATCATGTCAGTTACACATACAGCACTACTACACTGGTAAAGACTATCAGGCCAACTAGACTTTGCCACAGGTGAGACTCAAAGCAGAAATTCAAGCAAAGATTCACACCTGGACAGCAATCAACAGGACTGACAAATCATTTGAAAGCAGCAAATTGTTCCTTCTTTTCTTGAGGGAAACTATTTTGTTCCTAAAATGTCCAGTAGATCCTGACATTAGGTAGCTTCATTGCCTTACCACAAAGACTCCAGAAGGCCGCTCTCCCTTCATATGTAATGCCATTTATCTGTTGGAAAATTAGCAGTTGTGCTCCTAATTCCCTGGCTCATCACCATGCCTTGCATTTGGACTTAGGTCTCACCTGTCTGACCTCTAAGGGACTTCAACTATTCCCAGAACAATGCTGGACACCAACTGAGCTCAACTCTTGGAAGTTAATTGCATGACAACTTATATCAAGCATATTGCCCCTGTTTCACATAAGTAAATGAAGCCATCAAAGTTCCCACTGACTGGGTGGAAGATTTGGAGCTCTGATTACTGTACTGTTATCTAATAACAAGCTCATGGCTTACTCATAGTTTCATCAGCCAATAAGCAATCCATCCAACACTCATGTAGTTAACTGTAGAAAGTTACTCCACCAAAAGAAACAGAATTGCTATCATCTAGGTGCTGATCAATCTGTATTTATTTTTTCACATAGAAGCAATCTCCTTACATAGTCTTAGCCAAACTGCTCAGAGTTTTAGTTGGCAAATACTAAGGAAGTGTGTCTAGAATCAATATGCCTGTAAAGGCACGAAATACAATTTAAGGAAGGTCAGTAGGCAGAATGATTCTAAGGGGAAAATTCTTCCTTCAAAAGTGTAACAACGTTTAGTCACATGTTCTCTTGAAATAAGATTCCATATCTATTCCTCTAGGAAATGAGTTTATGTAAACGAGAACATTCTGCTTTCTGCTGCTGAAGTCACAGGGTATACCAGATGTTCACAATCCCAAGGCTCAGTTGCATGACATTCATGAGTATTTCATAAACCCCAATATTGGAAGGATTCAACACCTACTGTGTTTTCTTACCTTGACTCTGGAAAAATTTTTACACATTATATTTCACTGTACTGATTTTATTTTTAAAATCTAGCTGCCTTTATTTAAATGCCACAATTCATCTTATAATGGTATTTAAGGGGCTTTTGTGGCACTGTGCCAGATTTATATTATTAGAACCTAGGCATTTGCAAATGAACCTCTTTCAATTAGTGTTTCAGGAAGCAATTAAACTGTCTAAAGTGTATTAATGAATACGCTGGAATTGGGAAGCCAATCCTCCTAATATCCCCATTATTAATGCACCATCTGCTTTGCTGCCTTAGGAGCAGGCAGGATCTCTAACTTCAGGTCCACAAAACCCAATCGTTTATTCAAAAAGGTCACAGAAGCATAAGTTTGTAATCAAACTCAACATTCTATAAAATATGTGAATATTATATGCAGATTAAGGACATATATTTTCCTCAGAGTTTTGTACAAATGCAAATAAAGACGCATAAGGGTTCTTTCTTATTTCTTTGCATTCTATCCTATGTGTCAAAGCACTAACAGTTCTGTGAATGTATTCCTGGCTCTGATATCCCTGCTAAAAGTTTGAGTGCTGTATGTACACCCTGTGATATTTGAGGATATCATTAGGATCTCCAATAAGGTTGTCGTTTTCATTAATGAAGGACGTAATTTGCTGCTGTGTTGTAGCTTTTATCACAGGGAGTGGTCCAGGTGCTGCAGCATTTGCTCATGCCTCTTTCCAAGACTATGCTCAGAGTCCATCCACAGGACAGGGTTCTGGAGGAGCCTATGTCTTCATGAGGTATTTCCTGCTGGCTTTGTGACTAAGAGGAGCTCAGAGGTTGCAGGGCACAGACTGGAGTAAGAGAATGTGGAAAGGCAGGGAAGACCTCATGTGTGGCACTACCTGCTCCATGCTGGACAGTTATCAAGTCACCAGGCCTCCAATAAACACACTGGCTTTGGCGATGAGTTGCTGCTGAGACAGTCAAAAGGGAAGGAGAAGACACATCCTCAGCTTTTAAAGAATCGAGAGCCTGGTAGAGGAAAGAGGACACAGGCCCAGGGAGGGGCTATAAGCTGAAGTGGGGATCACTGTGCAGTGGAGCTGCCAAGGAGGAGTTTGAGAAGGAGAACCCCATAGTATCTTGGGGATTTAGGCAAGTAGAGAGAACAGATATATTTCCTACAGAGCTCTGTACTTCTCCTACCTTAATTTTCATTGAATTTAATTTTCATTGAATTGTTATGGGTTGAATTGTGTCTCCCCCAAATTCATATGTTGAAGTCCTAACCCTCATTAATTCAGAATATGACTTTATTTAGAAATTGGGTCACTGCAGATATAATGAGTTAAAAAGGCATCATCGTGGACAGGGGTGGACCCCTATTCCAATAAAACTGGTGCTTTATAAAAAAGAGAAACTTAGACACAGAAGAACCCCCACAGGGAGAATATCATGTGAAGGTGAAGGCAGGCATGGGGGGATGCAGCTGAAGCCAAGGGGCATCACACATGTCCAGCAAACCACCAGAAGATAAGAGAGAGATATGGAATAGATTATCCCTTACTGCCCTCAGAAGGAGCATGACCCTGCCCACACTTTGACCTTGAACTTTTAGCTCCAGAACTGTGAGACAATGAACTTCTGTTGTTTAAGCCACTGAGTTTGTCGTATTTTGTTTTGGCAGCTGTAGCAAACTAATGTAAGTGGTAACATAATGAATTGTGAAATACTTGACTTATTTCCTGGATTATAAGCTATTTGAAAACAAGAACAATGTTGGTTTTGTTTATGTTTTTACTGTGAGTCCCTTGTACAATGCTGGGCTTATAATGAGCATCTAATAATTCTGGGTCAAATGATCAAATTAGCATGAGCAAGTCATAGAAGAATTTGGAAAGTTCAGGGGACAGAAAGTTATGTGGTCATCATGCTATGGAAGGGAAATTCTGGCAACCACCAGAGTGGGAGTGGAGGTCCCTTAAAAAAAAACCCTGTGGAATCTTGGGTAATCACATTCACTTCATCAGGAGACAGGGAGGGTGTAGAGAGGCCAATCTGGTCACAGACCCATTGTGTCTTCTGCTGAGTCTGTGGACATGCTGGGTTTCTCTGCACAGGGCAGGGTCTTCAATACCTGATACACAGACATAGCAAACATACATACACAGACACAGCAAACATGCACACATGCACACACATGTGTGTGCACAGACATACATCCACATTGCCACCCCTGCTGACATGGGTGCCTTTGCCATTTCTTCATCCACTGATGGCTTGACTGAAAGTGTAAAGTCACAGGGATTCCCTTCATTGTGAGCAAACTGCTTCATGATTCACCTTTTATTTTAGAACTGTACATTTCAAGGTAGAAGGTATGTTGAAGAGAGGACAAGAACATCAGGTGAGAAAGTGAGAGGGGAGGCCAGGCACAGTGGCTCACACCTGTAATCCCAGCACTTTCGGGGGTCGAGGCAGGTGGATCACCTGAGGTCAGGAGTTCCAGACCAGCCTGGCCAACATGGTGAAACTCCTTCCCTATTAAAAATACAAAAAAAGTTAGCCAGGCATGGTGGTGGGTGCCTGTAATCCCAGCTACTCAGGAGGCTGAGGCAGGAGAATCACTTGAACCCAGGAGGCAGAGGTTGCAGTGAGCCAAGATCTCGCCATTGCACTCCAGCCTGGTGACAGAGCGAGACTCCGCCTCAAAAAAAAAAAAAAAAAAAGTGAGAGGAGAAATGTGTGAAGAAAAACAAACATTTGCTAGGCTGGAATTTTATTATGTGTTGGGCTCTGTGTTGGGAACTCCAATGATGTAACCTCACCCAAGTGGATATTGTAAACCCCAGTTTACAGAGGAGAGACGGAGGCTCACAGAGGTAGAATCACTTGCCCAGAGCCGTGGATCTAGTAAACAGGGCAGCTGAGGTTTGACCCACATCTAGCTGACTCCAAAGCCTGGGTTCCCTCTCTACTTCATCACATTGCCATTTTTTCTGGAAACAATATAAAATCAACACTCCCTTCTGGATCCATATATGCTCTCCTTTTATTCTTGTCTGTGTCATACCTGGCCCTTTAAATGAGGGGGCCTCCTCATCCTCTGCCTAGCAGGTGGCACATAAAAGCTAGCTTCAGACAACAATGGTTTGCCAAGCAATTTCCCAGGTTATTTCTGTCTTGTATATTATCTATTAATCTTATTACTGTTCCCTGGTCTCCCTGATTTTTGGCTCATCCTCTTGGATCTGAACTGTTAGAACTGGTTTGCTGGCCATTGGCTCCCTACTCTGCTTCTGGCATTGCTTTTTCTCTAACATTTATATCTTCTCCAGCCACGGAACAGACCCCCCTTCCTCAAAAATTATCGCAAGAACATACAACAGGAATATAATACAGTCTAGCCTGGACGCATTAAGGAAAAGAACAGATAAGGTAGGGAAGAGACATCTGCTAAAAAGTGACATATCAAATGCCCCCTGTGTGGATACATTTCCTAGCTTCACTTTTATGTATGGTGCCTGTCACATGCCTAAACGTGGAATATGTAGCGTTTCCATGTTGGCGTGGCAAGCATTTATTTTCAGTACTTACTCCACGCGTGCACTGAAGATAAACTAGCAATGAATAAGAATTCAAAAACCTTAATCTTGAGACTGTAGATGGCCTGCTCTTGCAGGCTTTATAATTGATTTGGAGGATACCATACTTATTTATGAGCAAATAATTCGCTTCCTGAGATCCGATAATTCATTAATTCTACAGTATTTTGTCTTGTCAATAGTAGGTTTACAGCAGTTTTGCAAAAAAAAAAAATGGTTTATATTATTTTCTTTTAAATAGGACTGGTTCAGGGAGAAGGCAGAGAAAGAGTAAGTAAAAATGATTTCACTTCTTCAACTTCAGTGAAACCAGTTCCGTAGATGCCAGGTCAGAAATTCCCACTAGGATATCTGAAGAGCATAGGATAACAATTCGGTCATTGTCTCTGGAAGGCCTTGGGAAAAGTACACAGTTACTCGGGGGTTATATCCTAATAGCTTCTCATTAATAGATTTGAAGGGATTAATGTTCCAGTTTGGCTGGCAACTTCAATCCCTTCTTTTCCAAATTCAATAGCATTCTCAATGATCTTCTATCCTTTAAATATCCCTCGAAATTCCACTTATTTCTACGTTCTGGGAAACCCTTGGCCTTGCAAGCTGGAGCTGTTGGTCACCCTACCTTCTTGCTCCTCCCTACCAGGATACAACTTCCAGGAAATGCCCTATTTAAGGTCAGTTTTTATCACCCCAAATACACTTGGCTTCATATTCATTGACCTGTTTCATGAGGGCTGAAGAGGAGCATGGTTGTTTGTGGATGCTTTCAAACAATTTCAGATCCCAAGGCCACCTGTTATTTGCTTATATTGGTCAGCTTTCATCTCGTATGCTCTGCACAATTCCCCAGTCCAGAAGCAGGAGCTTGTATGAGGTGGAGCTTGTACTGAACAAGGCTTATTTCACAGGTATTGATTAGAAAAATGGAAAATCAGTAACATTTACTAATTCTCAGACATTTAATTAATCCGGCATCAATCAATCAACAAACAAGGATCTACTGAGGTCTCCTTTGGTTGGTTTTTATAAGCAGGAGCTCAGGGTGGAGGTTTGAGGGGAAAACAATGGTTTCTACTACAGCTTTGGCACTTCCTACTAATGTGAGTTGGACATTTATTCAATCCTGCTGAGGGTGAATTTCTGTATCTCTAAAACAGAAGTAATCATATCTACATTATAGGAAAGCTAAGAAAATTAAACAAAGACTGGTACAAATGACTAGCATCATGTCTTATAAATATTAACTAAACTTAATGAATGAACCCAGGTTTGTGCTTGGTATGAGGAAGGGCACAAAGGAAGAATGAAATATGATTCTGCAAGGTCTCGTTAGACCTGCAAGCATTTCACCCTCTTTTTCTAGGCATTTTTACCCACATCCAGAGCTTCAATTGCCATCTGCACATACAAGCTTCCCACATTGATGGCTCTAGCCCAGATCTCTCCTTAGAGCTCCTGATCCTTATGTTGAGGTTTGCTTGGATGACTGAAAAATATATTAAATCTACAGCATGCAGACAAGTCCCGTGATCTTCCCCCTCCAATATAGTTCTCATTCAGTTTCTGTACTGACATCACCTTCCAGCCAGTTCTGAGTACCGGAAACTGGCGCAATCTTTGTCATTGTCCCTTCCTTAACCCCTACAACCATGTGATCATTGGGTCCTAGTCATCTCATCTTCTAACTCATTCAACACCTTCCATCTCTGCCACCAGCTCCCTGGCCTAAGCTGCCAACATCTCTTTCCTAGATAACTTACTAAATGGTGTTCTCCAATTTTTTCCAAAATTCTTGCTCTTGTTTAATCTTTTCTCAGACAGCTCCAGCATAAAACTTACAAAAGAAGACTATTTCCCTGCCTTGCTACAAAACCCTCAATGGTGCCCTATTGATCATAGAATAAAGACTAAAGACCGATATTTTTCTTAAGGTCTTGTAGACACTACTTGCCTGGACTCTACCACCCTCTGGAGCCCTGTCTCACAGCACACACACTTCTCTCCAAGTCACATGGACCATCTTCCTTCCTCCATAAAGCTTTGTGTAGTGCCGCTCCCCAAGGCAGAATTACTCTTTTTCCTTATCCTCTTCCTAAACAACTTGTTTATCCTTTCAGTTTCAATTCAAAAATTACATTGTTGGCAAAAAAAAATCATAAAGTTTTCAAAGCACCCTATATTTATGATTTGTGAAGCATTTAAAATAGTTATTCATTTTATATTATTTGCAATTACTTAATGCCTGTGTCCTTCACCAGACTATAAGTTCTATGCAGTGTGGTCCATATCTGTTTTTGCTCACCATTATGCCATGTATCTTATTACTATCCTTGGCATATAGTAGGTACTCAATAAAAATTATTGATGGATGAGTGAGTGAATGAATGAACAGTAAACGTTACAAGCTATATCCTCACTAAGTGTCAAAATGTCTGACAAACAAGAGTAATGAGAAGGAAGCTATGGAGGGTGAAGAAGTTTTCCTTAATGACCAGAGAAGGGAATGATCAGGACAATGGGGCTAGGGGTAGCATTTAGATAGCTAAAGAGGCAGGGAGAGGGGCTAGGCTTTCCAGGTAGTGACACCAACAGGTAAGAAGTCTTGGAAGCTTGAATAACATTTCATATATGGAAACAGTAAAAAGATTCACAGGCTATCATAAGACAATGAAATTAAAGTCCAGTATGTGTAGCTGGTCAGTATGGAAACAGAACAGGCAGGATGCCCATTTCAAAGTCCAAAGGAAGGCACATCATTTGTCTTTATTTTGAACTATGATTGGTGTTTCAAATGGGTGGTTTAAATTAAAGCAAAAACTGAAAGTCACCTGGATGGACAGTGATGAGCAAAAGTTCTTTTGCAGGAGAGGGACTGTCATCTGTTTGTTTGGGTTGATACAGGCTTTTGTTTCACTCTATGGAGACAAATGACTCTATGTCTCTCCGCCAGTCACATTATTAACTGTACTGGCACTTTATTTCTAAGTCAGGGGATAATCTGAGGCCAAGCAAAAAGGAAGCATTGAGAGGAGGCCTTGCCACAGGCTGCTGACTACCTGACATTTCAGAATGAAGAATCATTGCCTCGAAAATATTCTGAGCACTTCTTTTATACCCCAATCAGGGAACTGTTAGAGTAAAACTCAAAGGTAAGTGTATTCAATCTGCTAGCTTGCCACAGGAATGAGGAACTGTATTTCAAGCATTAAAATAATTAAAGCCCATTTCTATCTTGGTCACTGACAACATCAAAACAACATCTTGTGCTGCTTTCCAAATGAACTGCAGGGAGTAAATTTTATGACATGACGAGTGTAAGCATGAATTGGGGAGGAGAAAAAAGTTATGGTGGAAATAGTCATGGCTAGAAATAATAAGACTTCAAGGGGAAGACGCAGGTGTTTTAGCAGGTGTTTAGGTGACATGGCCCAGAGCCCAGGTTGCCTATATAGACAAAGACCCAGTCAAAAAAGGAGGGTGAAAAGAAGGACTGTCAGCTACAGTGAGAAGAGTGTTGGTAGCACAATATATATCAATAGATCAAAGGTGGATTAAGGGACTGGCTGACAGCACTAATGACATTTGAAGTTCTTTGTGTAAATAAAATCCCCATGAGCTTGGTTCCTAGAAGAAAGTATGAGTTCAGTTGACAGGATTGCTTGGGTCATGAGTGTTATTGTAAACACCCATGCCTTTGTCCCAGAGTATGAAAGATTTAATATCTTTATTGCCTATTCAATATCTTTATTGATGGCTGAGATGAAGAAATCGACAACGTGCTCATCAAATATGCAGACTATACTAAGTTAGGCAGATTTGCTAATAGACATCAAATAAGACAAGAATAAACACAAGACAGGAATATAATTCTCACTGACCTTGGCAAAATGAAGTGACTCTGCAGTGGGTCGCCTTGGGACAAGGAAAGATAAACAAGGGTTCCGAGCTCTTCACAAGCTAAATACAAACATCCTGGCAGGCAAGTCAAACTCCTTTCGCCCTCTCTCTTTTCCAGACCCTCACTAAAGTTCTGGATTATATTTTAGACACCAAACTTTAAAAAGAATGAGATTAACAAGAAAGGGTTCAGAAAAGCACAATGTACACATAGTCAAACAGAAGATGATGCATCACATCTTAGCATACAGAAAGTGCTTAGTAATTGTTCATTCAATAGAGAAAGAAGGAAGAAATGAAGGCAAGAAGGAAGGAAGAAAAGAAGGCAAAAAAGGAAGGAAGGAAAAGGAAGGGTGAGATGAGAGAGAACAAATGAGACTGTTATGAGTAAAATCATTGTGACCTTTAAGGAACGAATCATTACTTGGAGAAGGAAAAAACAGGTATTCATCAAACGGAAAAAGAGACTGAACAAAATGATTTCCCTGTGCTGCTCTAGGCTTTGACATTTTACAATTTCCCTGACGTCATAACTGGAATTTTCTGCCATTCGGAGTAAGCGAGAATCGCATGCAAGACGTGTGTCTCTGGTTATGGAGAAGAACTGAGATCAGGCTTCATCTTCCTGTACCTCCCAAGTGTGCCTCAATTCTTTATCAGGCTCTTCAACCTTTCTTCCTGAACTTTCACACTGTGCCCACATTTTCTCAAGATCCTGAAGGTAATGCCATTTTTACTTTAGAGTTAAGAAAACCACAAGAAAGTCTTCAAATGGTTCATCTCAGATCTAACCCAGAATTGAAGCTAAATTGAAGACAGGCTTCCATGTCCCATCTAGAACAGTGGTTCTCAAACTGGGCTGCATGTGATACTCACTTGCAAAGGTTGGAAACCTGTCCAAGACCAGGCCAGGCCCAGGATGATGAAATTAGACTATCACGGAGTAGGTGTCAGGCATTAGGCTTCTCCTAAAGCTCTCTAGAGAATTCCAAGGTGCAGCCAGCTTTGAGACCACTCCCTTAGAGGGTATTTGGTTATTTTTCTTTACCTCAAGATAATCCCCAGAAGAATCTGCCTCCAAAACAG
The DNA here is from genome assembly GCF_000001405.40 of Homo sapiens. Lineage (NCBI taxonomy): Eukaryota > Metazoa > Chordata > Mammalia > Primates > Hominidae > Homo > Homo sapiens. The sequence goes on from NC_000002.12 coordinate 22,851,084, forward strand.
CCTCCCGTAGATGCTGATGTATTTTCCTTACTTCATTAAGGAACTGGGCCAGGCTCTTCTAGTTGGATGGGACCACAGCAATGTTTCTCATATTTTAATGTATGTACAAAACACCTGAGGGTCTTGTTAAAATTCAGGTTCTAATTTAGGAGGCCTGAGGCAGGCTGGAGAGTCTGCATTTCTAACAAGCTCCCACTGATACCGATGCCCCTGGTCTGTGGACACATGAATAGCTGGAGCTATCTATAACGTTAAACTTACATGAACTAATCAACATAGCCTTCCATCAACTTCAACACTCACTTGGCAACAGGCTTGATTCTAAGTTAATGGAGGCTGATGTCTTGCTCTCCTTCTTCTCTCAGAATAACGATGCATTTCTCAACCCAAAGCCGGCACAGTCAGGTGCCTTAGTAACTCCTAAGACTATCTAAAAAAGTGCTTCTCAACTGTAATGTGCAAGTTAAATCACCTGAGGATCTCTTTAAAATGCAGATTCTAATTCAGCAGACCTGAGATGGGGCATGAAAGTCTACATTTTTAACAAGTTCCCAGGGGATACAAATGCTACTGGTCCTAAGAACCACAGTTTGAGTAAAAACAGGATCTAGGAGAAGTTTTATTGACTTCAAACATTGTGGGACCTGAATTTAGGAGTCCCCAACTCAAGAACTTTCTCTGTTCAGTTAAGCTTGGTTGGATCCTAAAACTCTGACTCTTGATATCTTTTAGGAAACAACTCCCAGGCACATAATCACCTCTGACCACAATTTCCCTGCATTGCTAGAAGCTAGATTTTACATAGACTGGAAATTACATAAGAAAAAAGGCAATCAGACCATTCTGAGTCATGAAAGTAACCAATTTTAAAGAGGTTACTGTATCTGTGTTTGGGAACCAGCCTTATTTAGGATCTTCAGAATAAAATCCTACAGAAACTATGCACCCCCAGCCCATGATTATAGAGCTCTAGCATGGACTAAGGCTTCCCTAATCTCAGACAGCCAGGGGAAATCAAGTATCAGGAAAGTACTGGTAAGATTCCAAGGATACACATTAATTGTTTAATGCAACTATTTGGCATTACCATCATTATTTTCATTGCCATAAGTCTCTCTTTTTAAGGAGAAGAGAACTTAGCACTTCTAGAAATATTGGTTCTTTCCTCTCAAGACATTTAAAGACCAATTGGAAGTGCTCAAAAAGAAACAAGGACAAGCACATTGGACCACATGCTTTAAGACTTGATTTCCAGCCCCAAGTCACCACTGACTGGTGCTGACAAGTTCATAAACATGGGATAGTCTCAAATCTCCTTGAAACTGTTATCTCCTCTGCAAAGTGGGAATATTGATCATGCTTTTAATGAAGGTCAAATAAGACAATGGATATGAAAGTTCTTAGAAAAGTAAACGTACTTTGCACATGTGAAAACATCCTGAGGTTTGCACAGGAAAGGCCACCAAACTTGGAATCTGCTATTCAATTTAACCAATATTCACTGAATACCCACTGTGAGCCAGAAAACATCACAGGGATGACTTTTCCAGCTTACCTGTAAATACTGTCATATCTATATAGCTTTAGTCCTTAGGACACATCAGTCTAAAGTTATGTGGAAAAGGTTTGCTGCTTGGCAGCATCCCCAGTCACTGCCTTGGCCTTTGTGCCATAGAGGGGGACCTACTCTATTTAGTTTATGGCTGTGTGGTATGAGACTGTTGGATAAAGAGGTGAGGAGGGAAGTTGGGTTTCCCTTTTGGGCCAAGCCAAGTTAGAGTCTTCAAGCCATGAAAGGTTATCACCATGTATGTAGTATGGACTTTGTCATCAGACTAACATGGGTCCCAACTTCACCTTTGCTTTTGTTTAGTTTCTGTATTACTGGAATGTCACTTACACTATTTAAGCTTCAGTTTCCTCATCTGTAACATAGGAATATTTCTATTTTCTATCATTAAGAAAAATGAAGACAAGGTCTTCCAAAGAAACAATTTACTAAGGATAACTTCCAAGGAGTATACGGAACAGCAACCTCATTCCTAACTGCTGGAATCACCAGTTTTCCAAGTTCTTTCCTGAAATTTCTGCTGTAACTACACTGGATTCAAGAAAGCATGGTTTCCTTTTTTTTTTTTTTTTTTTTTTTTTTTTTTTTTTTTTTTTGAGACAGACTCTTGCTCTGTCACCCAGGCAAGAGTGCAGTGGGGCGATCTAGGCCCACTGCAACCTCCACGTCCTGGGTTCAAGCGATTCTCTTGCCTCAGCCTCCTGAGTAGCTAGGATTTTAGGCGTGTACCACCATGTCCAGCTAATTTTTGTATTTTCAGTAGAGATGGGGTCTCACCATGATGGTCAAGCTGGTCTTAAACTCCTGACCTCAAGTGATCCACCCACCTCGGCCTCCCAAAATGCTGGGATTACAGGTGTGAGCCATGGTGTCCAGCCTAGGAAAATATGGTTTCTGTTGTAAGCCATGTCCTAGCCCAGTGAGGAAGCCAAAATTCTTTTTTTAATACCCTACTATATAATTTGAGAAGAGGTTATAAAATTAATAGTATTTTTCTTCCAAGAATCTCAAATTGTAAGACAGAGAGAAGAACACAAGTAAAACTCTACAAAGCATAACCCATGATAATCTAACTATAGAATGCAGCTTGCCCCTTAAGACTCCCATAATCTGGGCCCCATCCTACCTATGGGCAGGGATCCACAATCACACAGCTGTGTTCCCATTTTCAAAGTCTAAATCAAAGAGAATAAAGCTTTGAGACAGTCTACAAGTCTTCTCAATCTCTATGGGATCTACCTTTCAAATTCTGGTTTTCCTGTCTAAAACAAATGTCTTCCACAGTTAATGTCCAATTCCTTCAGGGGACACAATGACAAGCCTTAGAGTAATTGATATGGTTTGGCTGTGTCCCCACCCAAATCTCATCTTGAATTGTAGCTCCCATAATTCTGACATGTTGTGGGAGCAGTGGGAGCTAATTTAATCCTGGGGGCTGTTTCCCCCATACTGTTCTCATGGTAGTAAATAAGTCTCATGGAATCTGATGGTTTTATAAGGGGCTTTCCCTTTCACTTGACTCTCATTCTTTCTTGCCTGCCACCATGTAAGACATGACTTTGCTCCTCCTTTGCTTTCTGCCATGATTGTGAGGCCTCGTCAGCCACGCGGAACTGTGAGTCCATGAAACCTCTTTTCATTTATAAATTACCCAGCCTCGGATATGTCTTTATGAGCAGTGTGAGAACAGACTGATACAGTCATATAACCTAAATTTCAAACAAGAAGCTCCCATTCACAATATCAAGGGATTAATTACCATCACTTAATTCTACTCAATAAGTAGTAGTTAATGTACCTGCTCTTGTTGATGTTATTATATGAGTTAGATATTTTAACTACCAGGCTAAGTATTTGTGGAGAGAATATAAATGGTGACAGATGAGCCAAACTGAGTTGCCTGTGACCTTGGCGTCCCTCAGTATCCCTCCTTGGTCATGAGAAGGCTTCTTGATGACACTTACCCAAAATCAATAAAGAACAGTTACCCACAATAATGTCAGCAAGATTTATTTGTCATTCAGCACAACTTAAGATGTATGTAGTGTAAGAGATTTAGAATCCAAGAGTTGATCAGAAAGCTCTCACACAAAATGTGCTATCTTGGGCTGTAGATGGCACTGGCTGGCCCGGGTGGCTGTATTTCTCATACACCAGAGAATACTACACTATTTGTGACGACTCCATTCAGAAGAGGTTTATTAATCACACAGCTTAGGGAGCCTCTGCAACATGTAATGAGTTTAATAACTGAGATTTGCGGTGACAACCCTAAACTAAAGCAGAAAATATCAAAGTTGGGTCAATAGTATAGATTTCTCCCTTTTAAACATTGTCTTAATGATCACAAAGAGGACTGTTCTATTTTGGTAACTTTTTGTTACATTCCAGTCGGTGTCTCATGTTGACCTCAAAACTATTTATTTAATAGGAATAGCCCTAGAAGTGTCACTAATAAGCGCAAGAGATGATGTTCTTACAGGCTATTTCCAAAGGAGATGTGGTGGGGTGGGGGGCAGGTGGGTAGAGAAGTGAAAGTCATCTTTCTCAGGAAAACAATCCATTGATTCTGGCCTAAGTCAAATCAACATAATTATGCCTCACAATGGTCTCAGAAATGCTTTGTAGCCATTCAGGAAAGAGAACAAATGTCCCTTTGTTCCAATTTTGAAATGCAAGCTGTGCGCTTAGGCTCCATGGTACACTACGTAGAATAAACACAGGAGGCCTCAGTGGGGTTTTCCACTTAAAACTGATATATGGAAGATTCCTGGTCAAAAACCTGGGGCATTCTTTCAGGTCAAGTGTCATATAGAAATCACCTACTATCTGTTTGGACAACTGTAGCCAGGAAGCCTGGAGGAATTCTCAATCTGTCTCATCTTTTCCAAAGCTGCTACCCCAAACCTTACTGCAGAATGCTGTTTTGAGATGACTGGGAAAACAGAGAGCCACTACCATATTGTCTACCACACGCTTAATTATGAAGCTCTCATTTTTTTCTGCAATCAGGAAAAGCAAAACATCATTTACAAGAAGAACTACCACAAAAGGTCAGTCATGAGAAGTGACTGATGCATTTCCATAAGGAGAAGCCTCTCATTCCAAGCCTGGCAGTTGATAAACACACTTATCTCACTCCCCATGGTGGAAACGTACAGCTTTCTGGAGTCAGTGGAGTGGCACAAGCCTGGAGCGGGGCTCCCCCGAGGCTGTGGGGAAGGCCAACAGCGCGGTATTGCGGCAGCTGCTGAGCAGATGCCAAGCCTCCAGGCAGGGCCACAGCCATCACAGGTCCATTAGGATGCTCATCACTCGCTGTCAGGGGGTGAAGCCTCCAGACGGGCTGACGTTCTCATCCCTCCCAACACACTTGGCTCTGCCAGAGCCCAGGGACCCCAGGCAGGAGGTGACAAGCCAGCAGAGCAGTGAAATCACCAGGAACCCTCAGGCCATTTTTCATACCCAAGAGGTATCTGTGCACTGTAGGTCTGGTTACAGAAAACAGAGGGCTGTTTTTCCCCTGCACTTCTGATTTCAGTGAAACACTGATGACAGCTCTTATCTACAAATTTCTTGGCAAAATTAGGGCCAGTCAAAACCGTGTAAGGGAGCAACCACCAAACACCACTCTCTCTCCTCTGAGCCTGGGTTCCTGGGGCTTAGAAAACCAAAGCAGCCACTCTAGGCCACACAGGAGGAGGAAGGAGTAATACACTAGGTTATGTCCCTCCTGCACTTTAAATTCTTTAGCAACTTCAGTTTTCTGGGAATCCAAACGTATACTGGCTCTCAGGCTTGAGATTCCCAGCACAATCGAACACAACAATTCTGTAAAAGTTAAAATGGTAACAGGCTAATCTGTAAACTGCTGAAAATCTATACTGAGATCCTACATTCAGAAGCAAACAAGAGGGTAGAGGGAGAAAGACTATTCCAAAACCCAGTCCAGAGTTTCACACTCTGAAATTTAACATGACAGTTTAGTTGAGGGAAAAGATTGGCCTGACAATCCTCCATTGGCTCTCATAGACATTATATTTCCCATGATCTAAATAATTCAACAAACACTGATTCAGCATATACTATATATATCATAATCAAATCTGGATAAAATATTCTTCTTCTACCAGTTAGGATTATCAGTTGCAAACAACAAAAATGAACTGAAAAGTTGTTTATTAGAAGAGTGCTAGATCATTTGCAATTACAACCATGAAAGCCAAGAGCCAGCCTCAGAAAATAGGCACCAGGTCCAGAGGTGTCCCCTGGATGAGACACCATGGATGTCACCATTGGTGATGAGAGGCCACTGCTGAACCAGAGCCATGATCCCCACAGGGTGAGCCAGAGCCATGATCCCCACAAGTTGAACTACAGCCATGATCCCCTCAAGGTGAGCCAGAGCCATGATCCCCACAAGTTGAACTACAGCCATGATCCCCTCAAGGTGAGCCAGAGCCATGATCCCCACAAGGCTCCTGCCATCACCATGGCTGAAATCAGTTTTCAACAACCCTTAGTTATGGGTGTCAGGGCTTCAATTTAAGGTTCTAAATAGCACCACACTATCAGCTAATTCAAGTCATGTGCCTATGCCCTACTGTTGGGATGGGAGATGATTTTCCAGACTTTTGTCCTCCATTGTCAGAAGCAGGGCCTCTCACTATAACTTACATGACAATAAATTCCACCAGAGGAAGGGTATTAACATGTTAGACAATCAAGAAAAAAAGAGAGAGTAACGTCTACCAGGATCCTCAATATGGAGGCAGAGTTGGGAATGGAAGCCTGATCGTGTATAGATAGAAATAATTTTGACACCACAGAAGTAAGATAGATGCTATGGGTAAGACACCCTTGAGGATCTTCGCACCTAAGGAAATGAAGTACTACTCTGGCTGAAAGCTAAGGAAAATTTCATACTGAAATGATTTTTAGCCAAACCTTGAATGACAGATGGGATTTCAAAAGGTCTAAAATGATATTCCAAGGAAGAAATATCCCCTGTAATGCTGGAAGACCTTCCCAAGTATAAAGTGAAACTTTGTTGGGTGGAGAGGACTGGATGAGTGAACAGATGGTTTATATATAGTTTGAGAGCTTCTGCTGCCAACTTAACTTTTCAATAAATTAAAGGTCTTTCCAAAACAAAACGAATTTACATGGCTCTCAGGGAAAGTGATATTTATCATCATATTTTTAAGTATCCTCCAGTGGGAAAGATACAACAGGAAAAGATCCACCTCATCAGGTTTATCTTAACTTCATCCATATCGTGAATAAGAAACTAACCCAGGGTTATCCCTAGCCTCTTTGATTTTGCAACATGCTGACCACTTGGGGAGGTGCAGATCATAAACCCAGATGGAATCAAACAGCAAGATCTTAACTCATGGCTAAGCTTGGTTCTTAGGATCTCAAACGGTGAAGAAACTACATACATTCAATTAAGTTGAAGTAATTCATCAATTTCACCAGGACTGAAGGAAGATCTATTATAGAACTTTTCTGTGACAGAAGGAAACACTTCCTATAATGTGCCAAAATATTTCGTATTAACACCAACACTAGGATCTACTTGATTTTGGTCTACACCCACAGTTAAGAGTTTTACCTAGGAAAAAAAATTGGCAAAAATGCATATTTAAGACTATTTTTCTAACATAGACATGTAGAAAAGAGGGTGAAAGTGGCAAGGAGTCTGGAACATTAGGTCCACAAGAAGAAAGATCTAGAATATAAGGGTGAGATGACTCAAGAGGAATGTAGGAATTATTTTCAAATATATAATGGGTTGCAAGGTAAACTGGCAAAATTTAAAATGGTCCAGTAATGGAGTCAGCTACAAACAGGAGTGAAACCACTGGAAACTGTTCAAGCAGAAGTCAGAGAATGACCTGTTGTGGTAATGACTGCTGAAGTCCTTCAAATCTCTAAGATGAAATGACCACATGGAATCACTGCATGTTGATTCATCTAAATCTCCTTGAAGTCAGTATAAGAATATTCATATAAATAACTTTTTAAAAAATAAATATTGTTGACTAAATGAATGGATGATTCCTACACAAAGATTAGATTGAAAGAGAGCAAGATCTTGGGTTTAACACTGAATAAGTGACTACTGCCAAAGTCTTCACAAGAACCCAAAAGGTTCTACGCCATCAGAATCATCTAATTACTCCCTGATGTCAGAATAAAGCCATTTCTGTAAATAATTTCTGAAAAATAAAGTACTTTTTGAGGGAATAATTCTTTCATGAAGATCAGATAAAAATAAAAGATCTTAGGTTCTCTTGCCAAGCCTGAGTGACATTAACCGTCCCCATCCCTCCTTTCTCTGGCCCGCTCCTCTACCACTTCCCCTTAATCTCTGCTGCAGTCACACTGGCCCCTTCTGACATACCAGACATGATCTTGCCTCAAAGGTTGTCCCCTGGATGTTCCTTTTGACTAGAATATTCCCCTAAGGAGAATCCCTTTTCTCTTTCAAGGTGTACCCAAATCTCACCTTCTTGGAAAGGCTTTCTCTGACCACCCTATTTAAAGTGATTTCCCCATCTCCCTAACACAACACACGTAACACACACAGACTACATGCATTAAGTGTGCACACATGGACACACACACACATCGAGCAAGGCCAAGCTCCTTTCCCTTGCTTTTATATTTACATACTTCTTAATGCCTTCTAAAATTCCTCCTCACTAATTACATTTACTGCCTCTCTCCCCATTTGAGAATATAAGCTCCAAAGAATTAGGAATTTGTGTACTTTATACATTGAAGAAATCTCAACACCTAAAAGAGTGCCTTGAACATGGTAAACCTCAATAAATACTCATTGAATGAAGAATACAGACTTGACCATAATACCACTAAGTTAGGATTCAATAGCAGCAAGATAACTATAAAATACATTTGTGACAACTCATGCACCATAAACATTATAATGAAAAATAGAAATTAGAAGTTTAAAGAAAAAAACTACTTATTAAACATGAGAGAAAAAGCTAGCACAGTGTTTATTAGGAAATGTATACCCTTACATTAGAAAAAAGGAAAAAAGGGTGAAAATTAATGGTCTAAATCATCCACCTTAAGAAATAAAATCAACATAATAAAATAAACTCAATTTAAGAGAACAAAACTAATAGAAATAAAAATAGAATATGAATATAAAGAGAGTTGCAACAGTGTCAAAATTGGTTCCTTGAAAACACTTTAAAAAAGCAAAAAATAAAATTTTGTTAAATGTGATAAAGGAATGACACTAATAAACATTATTCAATGGAGAACATGGAATTCAATATGAAAGAGATTTTTATATGTCATAAGGAAGTACTAGTAACAGCTTTATTCCAAAAGTGAAAATTAGACAATATATTTCCTTGAAAAATACAACTTACCAGTAAAAATATTAAACTCAAGTAGACAATGACTTTTCACTGAGTTTAATTAAGGTAAAATTTACATACAACAAAATTCACTTATTCTATGTTTACAGTTTGATGAATTCTGGCATCTGTATAAATTCATGCCACCACCACCACAATCAAGATGTAGAAAATTTCTACCATCCAAAAAATCTTCTTACTCCTTTGCAGTAAATCCCCATCTCCAAATACACATACCAGCTGCAGAAAACCAATGATCTGCTCTCCATCACTATAGTTTTGGTTTTTCTAAAATGTCATATAAATGGAATTACACAGCATATAGAATTTTGTCATGTGCTTTCATTGCACAAAATATTTTTGGAATTCATCTATGTTGCTTTGTGGAACAGTTTATGACTGAGTACTATTGCTATAGTAGGAATGTATTACAATTAATTTGTATATTCATCACTTAAAGAATATTTAGGTAGTTTCCAGGTGGTAGCTATGATGGAAAACAGTGTGATGAACATTCAAGCATATACAAGTATTTATGTGGACATATGTTTTTGTTATGTCTATGGTAAGTGTAACTTTACAAGAAACTGGCAAGTTGATTTTTAGAAGAACTGTACCATTTTGCATTCCCATCAGGAGTACATGAGAGTTCCAGTTGCTCCACATTCGTATCACCACCTGATATTGTTAGTCATTTACATTTTAACTATTCTAATAGGTATGTGCTGGCATCTTACCATGTTTTTTAATTTTCCATTTTTTATTTATTTTCTAGTTTACATGTAAATTTCACTGATTGGTGTACAGTTCTATGACTTTTGACAAATTGACTCATGCTACCACCACTATGATCAAATGCAAAACACTTTGGCAGTTTGGGAGTTCCCAAGACCACCCTCACTTTGGACACCAACTGCAAGTTCAGATACTAACTGTAACTTTGGGCATACCCAATCCAATAATCACCCTCATTTCTTTTATGTTTTCTTAATTTTTATGGGTATAAAATAAGTGTATATATTTATGGGTTACATGAGATATTTTAATACGGGCATGCAATGCATAATAATCACATCAGGATAAATGGGGTATCCATCACCTCAAGCCTTTATCCTTTCTGTTGTAAACAATTAACTTGTACTCTTTATTTTTAAATGTACAATTAAATTATTTCTGATTATAGTAACCCTGTTGTGCTAGCAAATACTAGATCTTATTCATTCTTTCTGTTTTTGTGTCCATTAACCGTCTCTACATTGCCCTCAAGCCAATCCTTCTCAGCCTCTGGCAACCATGCTTCTCCTTTCTATCTCCATGAATTCAATTATCTTAATTTTTAGCTCCCACAAATAAGTGAGAACATGCAAAGATTATATTTTTGTGTCAGGTTTATTTCACTTAACATAATGACCTCCAATTCCATCCATGTTGTTGCAAATGACATGATCTCATTCTTTTTTATGGCTAAATAGTTCTCCATTGTGTATATGTATAACAGGAGTGAACTGGCTGCCATATCTGTCACCTCATTGATTGCCAGAGTTGATTCACTGATCTGGCTGGCTAGGTGGGTGTCCCTTTCCCCCATCACCAGATCATGTGTGTCCCTCCCACCGTTATGCACTAGGTCAAAGTGGACAACCTTCCTCAACAGAGGAGGATTGTTCTTCCGTTAAGGGTATATGAGTAGCTGTACTCCCCTGCTAGAAGCTCCCAACAAGCTCTTGTTGTGATTTTAATTTGCATTTTTCTGATGATTAGCACTGAGTACCTTTTTGCATACTTATTGGCATTCATATTTCTTCAATAAAGTGTCAGTTTGAATGTTTTACCCATTGGGTTGTCTCCTTATTACTGAGTTGTTAAGGGTTCATTACATACTCTAGATACAATCACTTTATCAAACATATAATTTGCAAATAATTTCTCTTAGTCTATAGCTATCTTTTCATTTTCTTAATTGTGTCTTCTGGGAGAACGATTTGTTAAAAAAATTTTGATGAGGGCTAATTTATCAAGTTTTTCTTTTATAATTCATGTTCTGTTTAAGATATTATTGCTAAGTGATTGTGACAAAGATTTTTCCTGTGTTTTCTTCCAGAAGTTTTGTAGGATTAGCTCTTATACTAAAAAGTCTATAATCTATTCAGAGTCAATTTTTGTAGATGGCATGAGATAAGAGTTAAAGTTCATTTTTTCTCCATATAGATGCCAGTTATTTCATCACTAGTTGTTAAAAATCATGTAACCATATGTTCATCAATAAACAAATAAATAAAAAGATGGTACATTATACAATAGTATGCTACTCAATGAAAAGAACTGTTGATACATGAAACAACATGGATGAAATTAAGAATCATTATACTAACTGAAAGCAACCAAAAAGCAAAGATTACCTACTATATTATTGCACTTACATGAAAGTTTAGAAAATTTTAAGCTAAAGTGACAGAAATAAAACCTGAGGATGGAAGGAGGCCTAGACTGCAAAGAGGCATGAGAAACCATTTTAGGGAGTGATGGAATTACTTTGTGTCTTGGGTTTGGTGGTGGTTCACGGTGCATAGCTCTGTCAATACTCACTGAATTGTAGACTTTAAATGGATGTCGTTTGTTGGACATAAATTATGCCTCAATAAAACTTATTTTTAAAAAAGCAACTAGGCCTTGGGCTAAGATATAAGAACATCAACTTTTCCCCAAACTGTAAACCTCAGATTATTTTACAAGTACCCAAATGGACTAACAGTAAGGCCATGGGAAGTCCATACAATGCAAATGTTAAGTCCAAATAACTGTTTCTAGTTCAGACTTCAAAACACAAAATACAAACAAACAGGAAAAGTAGACTTCTGAAAACTATCTAGTATAGGATTCAGAAGATAATTTTATAAAATTAGTCGATATTCATCATAAGAAAATAATACAATGCCTATAAGAAATGTGAGCAGAAGGAAACATAACAACACAGGTCAAAGTTAACATAAAATACCAAGAGTATGGGTGATTTTATTATAAGTAAAATCAAAATGGAAGTGCAGAATGAAAATCCACACTGTAGGCAGTAAAAAGCAGATTTGACTCTGCAAAAAATCAAATCAGACATTAAAACAATCTTGAGAAGTTCCTGGATAATAGGGAAGAAAATGAAAAGGAAATGAAAATAACAAGGGAGAAAATGATAGAGATCTAATCTGTGAAGAATATACATTATTATTATTTAGATAATATCTAATATGTATATGAGGAACATACATTCTTCATAGATTAGTATATAATAAAATATTTTAAGAAAATATAATACAATTATATTATTGTAATAATGTAATATTAATGTAATATATATTATATATAATAGTGACATAAATATAATAATCTTAATATAATTTTAAGAAAAAATATTTAGTAATGAATCCATAATTAAGAAAAAAAATTTTTAGAGATGTGAATGGAAACTCACATCTCTAAAACTATCTAATAATTTATCAGATAACATGTTATATATTGATTAACAGGGATTATAGTACATTCTTGGTAAAATCAATGGGAAAAACAAGCCATATCTAAACACCTAGAAATCATCTTAAATTGTCCATAAAAATTATAAATTACAAATTTTTTTAACAAAGATACTGGATACTATGCATTATAAAGAAACAGGAATCTGCTGATGTCTTCTTTTTTCATTATGCTATATCAAAAAATACAAAATACCTAAAATTTTGCAGAAAAAATATTGGAACATAATTACATACACAAGTAATTGTCTTTCATGTCTTAGAGCAACAGAGAGGGAGCCAGCATTGATATATCTGCCTTCTTTGAAATAATTATTTGAAGACATACTAAATGACTAAGTGAAAATCAAAATTAATAAACCTTCATGAGGAAAGTTATGATTTAAAACAATTTGAGGCTGGACACGGTGGCTCATGCCTGTAATCCCAACACTTTGGGAGGCGGAGGCAGGTGGATTGCCTGAGCTCAGGAGTTCGAGACTACCCTGGGCAACATGGCGAAACCTTATCTCTATTAAAATACAAAAAATTAGCCACGTGTGGTGTTGGGCACCTGTAGTCCCAGTTACTGGGGAGGCTGAGGCAGGAGAATCACTTGAACCCAGAAGGTGGAGGATGCAGTGACTGAGATCCCACCACTGCACTCCAGCCTGGGCAACAGAGGGAGATCCTGTTTCAAAAAAAAAAAAAAAACAAACAAAAAGCAAAAAACAAAAAAACAAAAAAACAATTTGAGGCCTTGCATTGCTCAGTTGGACCAATAATTCAGAATCAATTTATTTATATGCTGAAATTTCTATCATGTATCCTAGGTACAAAATTGGGCCTGTTATGCTTCATAGAGTGACTCCTCAGCAATTTTTCTTCTCTTCCTAGAACCAGGAAATTTTTTTTGACATACAGCCTGCATCTCACTTGTGTGGGAACCTGTTTGAAGACACAGCAATGACTGCACTGTGAGTAAGAACATGAACAACAGTTACAGTTTTTACAAGTTTTTAGTTTACTACTGGGAAAATCACCAAATCAAGTCTTTCTCTCTTCTCCAAAAAGCACAGTTACACAAAGCATATATAGAAGTAGCTCTTATATCAAGGTAATTGAATAACTTATTTTTGTAATTTAAGCTCCTACTTAAGGGCTAGAGTAATTTTTTTTTTTTTTTTTTTACATTAAGAGAGAATAATAAAAACTAACCAGTGGTTGATATTATTTAAAGCCTTTCTGGGTTTTTTTTTTTATGTATGTATGTATTTATTTTTTGAGACAGTGTCTCGCTCTTGTCACCCAGTCTGTAGTGCAATGGCACGATCCTGGATCACTGAAACCTCTGCCTCCTGGGTTCAAGTGATTCTTCTGCCTCAGCCTCCTGAGTAGCTGGGATCACAGACGCACGCCACCACGCCCTGCTAATTTTCGTATTTTCAGTAGAGACGGGTTTCACCATGTTGGCCAGGCTGGTCTCAAACTCCTAACCTCAGGTGATCCACCCACCTCAGCCTCCCAAAGTGCTGGGATTACAGGCTTGAGCCACCGTGCCCAGCCTAGCCTTTCTTTATTTACTCTTTGTCCTGTTTGTGACTGATCTGTATTGACTATGCTTTAAAATCACCATGTAAACTAGAACCTATATTAAAATTCAAATAAAAAAGATTCTTAAAAAATTAAATCTTTCCAAGCTTATTTTTAAATGATAGAACTTTTGATTTTGTTGTTCTTTGTATCTTCTCTATAATACAAATTTTCTACAATACACTTCTTTTTATAAATTGAAGCCCTAAAATAAAATTATCAAAATGTTGACAGTGATTACCTAGTGGTATAGTAGTTAAGGATGATCATTTTTCTTCCTTCTAGATTATCATATTCTTACATTTCCATGAGTCACATGTTTCATAACACTTTATTTTCATCAAATGTAATAAATTCATTAATTTAATATGTATTTTACAATGAAAAAGTAATTCTACCTATGTTAGCCAGGGTCTCAGCAGGAAATAGAAGACAGCCTCCGAAAAGTTTACCAGAAAGAACCTAATGAAGAGATTATTTAAAGAGGTTTGGACAGCACTAAAGGAACTATCAAGAAACATGAGACTAGCAGGGATGGGCAACAGAAGAAAGCTATTAACTTTCTGATGTTGAAGGAGCTCGGGGAGGAAACGCTGTTTCCAAAGCACAGAGAAAGATCCAACAGTGCAATAAAGGCAGTGTGGCATGCACTGTGTCTGAGCAGCAGTCACCGTCAGGTGTGTGGTGGGGGTGCAGGGATGGTGCAGGTAAGTGATACTCTGACTTTCCATGCTCTTGTCCCCTGAGACCCTGCCCATTTCTTCCATTTGCCTGAACTCAAACAGAGTGAGGGTAAGAGAGCCTAGCAGATGTACACCATAGAAGTCAGGCTTCTGAAGTACAGAGCAGGACACAAAATTGTGGAGAATGCATCTGAGGCTGGCAGGTGGGAATATGGGCAAAAATAACAGGCACAGTCCTCTGTGTATGTATCATTCCTGCTGAGGCCATTCAAGAGACTTTTCACCTCATTCCGAAATCACTGAACCAGTAACCTACATTATCTTCTGGACTCTATGGGAATGTGTGTTCATCCTTATTCTCTGCTCTTCAGAGAATAAACTATAATACAATAGTCCAGAGCCAAAATAACGACATGGGGCAGAATGGCAACAGTGGTGTCAGCGAGAAGTGATCCAATCTCAAATATATTTCAAAAGTAGAATCAGTAGGATTTGCAGATGGTGAGCTGTGGGCCCTGAAACAAAGGAGTCAAGGGTGCCAGTTAGCTCTTTTGCTTACACAACCAGATGGAAGGTCTTGCCATTATCTGAGAAAAAGAAAATTCCAAGAGGAGCTAGATTTTGGAAACATATCAGGAGGAGTTTTGAACATATTAGTTTTAGGATTTCTATCAAACATCTAAGTGGGAATACTGAGTAGTCAGTTGGACATATATAAGTGTGGAACTCAGGAAGAAGATCCAGACTGGGAACAGAAACTTGGAAGTCATGTTTTGTAGGCGATATATAAAACCATGTAGTTGAATGAAATCATGGAGAGATAAGCATAGATAGAGGGATGAAAAGAACCAGGTGCAGAAAATTACAACACTCCAACATTGAGAAGGGTGATGAAATAATACATACAACAAACGCCCGTGACACACATTTCCCTATGTAACAAACCTTCGCATGTACCCCCAAACTTAAAAGCTAAAAAAAAACTTCAAATTGTTTTTAAATAAATAAAAAATTGTAAAAAGTAATGGAGATAGGAAGTAACCACTGATGAAAACTGAGAAGGAGCAGTTGTGAGGTTGGAGGAAAACTGAGAGTACATGTTTTGCCTGGAAGTCAAATTAGGAAAGTGTATTCAGTGGAAAAGGTAACAGATTGTATCAAATGCTGCTGATAGACCAACAGGGCAAAGACTAGGAAGTAATTACAAGATTTATCAAACAGAGTTCCTGGTAATCTTGAGAAGAGCAATTTTTATTGAAGTGGTGGATCTGAAAGCCTAATTTGGGTGAATTCAAGGAATAACAGAAAGAGAAAACTTACGAACAATGTTTACTAGAGATAATTCTTTTGAGGAGACTTTTAAAGGAGCAAAATGAGATGGTTAAGTGAAAAATGAGGTCAAGATATATAGGTTTATTTATTTTTAAAATGGGAAACATAATGGGATGTTTGTATAGTGAAGAAAAATACTCCATTCTCTTAAGTATTCCTCAAGGTATCAGAATAGCTGACAGAATTTTCTGGAAATAAAATATACCCATATCTATTCATAAATTCTCTTAAGATTTTGAGAGCTGGTCTGGTCTCTAAGGAACTGATTTTAATCTTTGCCATCTCCAAATTAGACAACTTTAGAGAGTAGAGCGATAAATAACATCTCTGATGTCTTACAGCATCAAGTGATGTTGGCCAGCATGACAGTTTCTAGTAATAGAAGAACCCATGATTGACTTAGTTCTGCCTCCTCCACACACTGTTTCTGAAATAGGAAGGACTCCTAGAAGGAAGGAGGCTGTGCAGACAAAGATGGGAGGAGAGGCCAAACATAACTTCCAGATAATTCCTACTTAAATGTCAAGTTGACTGCATTTGGAGACTTTTGATTTAATAAAAAAAACACAACTTTTATGCTCTCTAGTTCACTTATCTGGATTCTACTTCATTCAATGAGAAAAAGAAGAAATGCAGCAAGTCAAAAACAGCATTGATTTTTTTTTTTCCTGATCTTTTCCATTACTGTCTTAGACATGGGGCAGGGGTGGGGGGAAATCTTCCGTATGTCACCCTGCAGTCCTATCTCCTTTTTCTAGATGAGGACTTTCCCTTCCTGTCTCTCCAGTCTCTGGACAGATTCTTTCCCTTTCTACACAGCTACATTTCCTGGTAAAACACGAACTGAAGCAGGGGTGAAATTTCAAAGAAGACATGGAACTCAGTCTGGACAATGATTAAACTCAGCTGTAATAAGCAAGGAACCATGTAAGCCACGGGCAGGCTGCTGATACCAGAGAAACGAGGAGTTGATTAGTATGGTCCCAGGGTTAACAACTAGGGAAAATGAGAAAAATGATTAACAACAAGAAAACATGGAGCAGTGCCATTCCCTGCTGGGTCCTGGCAGCCAAGTAGCTGAGGAGTCCTCCCAGATTGGATTCCACTTTTCTTTGCTCCCTGCATTCAGTCTGTCACCAACTGCCACAGCCAACAACTTCTGACTTTTCTTGGAACACTTTTCTTTTGTATTTCTGCAGTCTCCGGCAAGCTCAAGCCCTCCCAGCCTTGTAGCTTGATACCTGGCTTTGCGTTGGGTAAAGGTAGTCTCCAGATGGCTCCCACCAAAGAAGCTTTTGCACAGCAACAAGAATTTGTATTTGCAATTTAGTCTATTTCTAAGCGCTTCCAAAATCAATTTAGAGTCCTGGTCTTGAGCTTTTGGATTTTCTATCATTCCTTGTTTCTGTCACCAAGCTCCCCTTCAGAACCTTCATCAGTTCACGACTTTGCTCTTTGACCCCCAGTTTCTCTTCTCTTCTGGGCCCCCAACTCAGAGCTGACTGGCTTTACCTGTGCTATCTGGTACATTCTTAGAGATCAGGTACACTCCCAACCCTGGTTAATATGATTCCATAATAACATTTTAATAACCCCATAAATGCTGTACACACTAAGTAGACAGTAAGCACTTCAAGAAAGAAAATAATCCACATACTTTATCATTACGGTAAATTAATGGGTATAAGACATTAAACATGACTTATCCAGGCGGGAGCATGTCTACATAAACCTTAGCTCATCAGCATTCTGGGCCAAGGAGTACAATATTTAGCAAAGAAATTATAATCCCTTCTGCATAATAACAAAATAGCCATTGCCTGTGCTCAGTGAGAAAATTAATAGAGGGAATGTTTGGAGTAGAATGGGCTGGTGGCTGTTTTATCAAGCACTCACTCCTTTGTCTGCATCTATTGAAACTTTACAACATGGCCTAGGAGGCTCCCTCAGTTTGGTTCCTGGCTATCTCTCCAGTCTCCCCCACCAGTTTCTCTACACGCACGCGACACTCAAACCAGCTGCCTAGGTTCTAGCACCCTTCTAAGTTGGTCATACAGTCCTTTGTGGCTGGTTTTCCCTTAGATCCCTTTGTCACTTGGTCAATACCTACACAACTTTCAAGATTCAACTCAAATGACACTTCTTCAGTAAAGCCTTCTGAACTGCACATCTCCTAGCAGGGGCCAAGTACCCACAACAGGCACTCACGGCAGACTTATGGACTGAATGATTATATTTTAGAATCTGTTTGACTTAATTTCTTTCTAGACCTCTTAACTATAAAGGTTACTTTGGCATTTATTCAAAACAAACCTAAAGCCAAAGTCCTATGCTAAACATATAGCCATGAACTCAGTAGAGTTTCATGTTGGTGTGGGGACTTCTTCATCTCATTACTGTGTACTCTTAACTGGAAAATGGGACCAAAAAAATCCAACTGTTAACCTGTACTCTAATGTTACTGTGCAGATATAATTCAAATTGTGCAAGAGTTTTATTCCTAAAACATTAAACCCATGCTTTAAATGCATTGCTGTTGGTCCTTATCAGTTTATGAAAGTCAAAGAAACCCTTTTGTAAAATAAACACTTCCTAATGTAAACTTTTATTTTCATATGTATCTGGCTTATAAATTTAAACTTTGGCAAACCCTCCTTCCTCAAATTAGGATCCACCATCATTGCTTGTCATTCAGAACAGAAATCTGAGTGTGCAAATTTACAAAAGGTAATATAATAGGATAATTTGCAAGAAGACATAAAACTGAGCAAGGGATTCCTAGTTATTCTCATTCTTCCCTTAAAAATAAGAAAAAAAAACAAAAAACTTATACAATTAAAGTATTAAAATGCACTATCATCTATTGCATTTAATCTCTACAAAATCACTACAAAGTTGGCAAGGAAATTATTATTATAAATATTTCACAGATGGAGAAAGTGGAATCCAAAGACAAGTAAAACAAAGAAAACCCAGGTTGTGTAGCTGCAAAACTAAGATAAAGCCATGCCTAGGGACTTCCGGTCCTATGGTCTTTTAGAGCTCTTCTATGGAGGAGGAAGCCAATTCCAGTAATAGACATAACATTTGCAAGTTGACTTGATTTCTGAAATCCCCACCTCAATGAGTTTGAGTGAGTAAAAGTTTAATCTATTAGTGAAAGATAAATGTTTACTCAGGGAACCTTGGTAAGAATAACATTATCATAAGTCATTGTAAATAGGTGGTCTTCACTTAAAAAAAAACTCATATAATATATGAAATGGGATATTACTCAGATAATTATCATCCTCAATATAAAAAATTTGATATATGCCAGAAACTGTATCCTTATTTCAACTTTCATGAAAACCTGCAAGGTAAGTAATGGTGTTCATATTTTATAGATGAGAAATTGAGGCTGAAAGAAGTTAATAAATTATCCAAGCTGACATGGAAAATGCACCAGTGTCATCTCCCTCATTCTTGGCATTATGCCTGCAATAGTGAATGCTCTTGATAAACATTTCTGAGTGAATGAATGGCTGAATAAATCAATGAATGAAGTGATAAAGCCATGGTTTGATTCAGGTGTGCCTGCTTCTAAAGTTCATATATTTTTCCCAATGTCGTACCCTCACTTCGTAAGTAAATGTATTACTGGCTTTCCTCAAAGAGAAAATGTTCCCCTCAAGCATCTAAAATAATAACTAAGTTGCATAGAAGTTTTCAGAACATGATCGGCTATGTAAAGTGAGAAAAGCCTGGATTGTAAAATATACTTCACACGGGTGGCCGTAAGATTACTCAGGTCTGAGTTCCACTACTGTCTCTCATCAGCGAGTTGACTTGTCTGGATATGGGTAGAGTTTTAGGCTGGTTGATTTGTGAGTCTCCTTTGGTTCCTCTGACTTCACCACCATTCCCTCTGGCATCTCTTCCTAACACTCCAAGTTTCTACTTAAAACATTCAAACAAATGCCTCTGGATAAGCTCCGTCTATAGGCATGTGGGTAGGAACCATGAGCAGCTTCAAGAAGATTGTTATTTCCAATAAGGAGAGGCAGCCAGTGTCAGGTGAATGCAACTCATTTTATCACACAAGGATGAAAAGTGTGTTCACTTGCCATAAATGGAACAAAGGCAAGAATGAAAAGCTCTTGACAAAATAAAGAATTCCCAAAGGGCAATCAGGAGGTAAGGTAAAACAGAATCCTCTTTGAAAGCAGGAGTTTGTCTTCCATATCCCTGGGTCCCTTGCTACAGTCAAATTCTCAGGAAGCAAAGGCAAGTTTACAAACAAAGAGAAAGTGGAGAAAAGGAAGTCAGGCCACTGTAACACGCTCACTGTTGACCTTCGTGTGGTCAGTTCACCCTTCTGCAAGCAGGCCCAGCAGGTAACCCTGCTTCTTCCCTATTTTCACCAAGGCTCTTCACATCTATTATTGTAAAGTGCAATGATTCCATAGACTCTTTGACTCCATCTTCTAACCTCACATGTTGTCAGGACATAAAGAACCCAGCATGTTTGGGAAGGCTCATGTGAGGGTGAAGAAATACCAAAGACCTAGGAGACAGCCAGGCGTGATAGCTCAAGCCTGTAATCTCAGGACTTTGGGAAGCTGAGGCGGGCGGATCATTTGAGGTCAGGAGTTCAAGACCACCTGACCAATATGATGAAACCCTGTCTCTACTAAAAATACAAAAATTAGCCAGGCATGGTGGCACGCACCTGTAATCCCAGCTACTCCAGAGGCTGAGACAGGAGAATCTCTTCAACCCAGGAGGTGGAGGTTGCAGCGAGCTGAGATGCATCATTGCACTCCAGCATGGGCAACCAGAGGAAAACTCCAGCTCAAAAAACAAAAGAGCTAGGAGACACACAGGAATACAGGGCATGGGTAGGAAGTCAAGAAAAAAGAT
Organism: Homo sapiens; assembly: GCF_000001405.40. Classification (NCBI taxonomy): domain Eukaryota; kingdom Metazoa; phylum Chordata; class Mammalia; order Primates; family Hominidae; genus Homo; species Homo sapiens. The sequence continues at coordinate 22,872,064 of NC_000002.12, forward strand.
ATTCTTGTAGAACACCAGCCAAATAGAAGACATGCCACAGACAGCAGGTCATGAGCAGATAAAGTCGTAGCTCAAAACTGCACTCCCTGGGCCTTTTTGGCCTAACACTCTGTTCTGCAAAACCACTGCACCATCTAACAGCCCGAAAGCACAACCTATTCCATCATCATCATGAATTGGGTTTTCTCCAGATAGAAGAAAACAGCAATGCAATCTGGTGTTTGCACAGAAAACACAGCAGCAGAAAAAGCAGGAGGTACACACCAGAACACCTGCTCAGAGACATTGCCTCAGAAACAGTCAAGCACTCACGGGACGGAAACATCTGTGTGCAGCTCCACATGCCAGGAGCCTTGAATTATAGGATGGGGGAACCTAGAGAGAGGCAGGGAGTCAGAAATCAAATGATTTGGATAATGTGGGAGGAGGTGCTGAGAAGAAATACACAGAGGTCAGGGAAGGTAGGGAAGGGTCTCTGGACACAATGTTTTGGTATCCTTTCAGCACAAAGGATGAATGTGGCTCTTCTGGAAAAAGAATCAACACTCTGTGCTCTATGACACAATTCAAAGAGCACAAAGACCAAGTTTGCTGCTGAATGGTTAGATGACTTGTCCCAAGTCACAGCTTGTTAAAGTAGGAGCTAAGGAAGATCCAGGTCTCTCTGATCAGCGACTCTGCTGGTTCCTCTACCCAACACTTGAGCCCCTGGCAGCATTTACAGTAACAATAAGTCTCTTCTACCTGAAAAGTTCTTCTCCTTTGGCTTCTACAACTCCTCTCTTTTAATGTTCTCCTATTCCTCTTACCAGTTCTCCCCAGCATCCTTCTCCTACTTATCTCTAACACATTCTCCATGCCTCTGTTGTACCCCACATGAACATTAGCAAGAGAGTTAATATTTTCCCTAGATGATGTACCTCCTTCTATCTGCTTACACCTATATGCTGATAAATCCTAAACTTCTGAAGTAAATCAAACCCTTTCCTTAGCCCTACATTGTTATGACTAACACTAGTTTTCACATCTTCACAGGCACCCGCATCAATATTTGCCAAACTAAGCTCACACATAACTTGACCAGCCAAAGTGGATTGCCCAACCCACATTTCCAGAGGCCGCCTCCTCTGATTTCACTCCAAACCACATGGGATATGTCTTTGAGCTCCCATGATCTCCAAGGCATAATTTTGATGAAGTTCTTACCAAAGAACATTTTAATTGTTTGTTTACTACTCTCTCCAATGGACTGTGAGCTGCTCAAGGATTAAAAATGTCTATTTATATAATTGTAAATATAGGTAGGTAGTAAATATTTCTTGAAGGAATAAATGCAGAGCCTAATTTAATTAGAGGTACCACTTTAGCAGGTTACACAAGCCAGACATCATTCTCAATGCTTCTTTTCTCTCACTCTCAATTCTGATTAGTTGCCAAGCTGTATACTTACCTCCCATATAACAGTTGAACATTTTTTACATTTCCATTTTTAACCAGGTTTCTCCTCTCCTGCTTCAACCCTGGAAGATGCAAAGTCAGTTAGTGAGTGGAGAATGGATTAAAAACCTTCAGAGGTGAATACAGAAGAAGCCAATTAAACCTCTCTGTCCACGCAGGCCATTGTCCCAAAAAAGCTCTAAAGCAAGGGAAAAAAACATTAATTTAAAATATGCTTGTAGTTTTATCAATGAGAGTGATCTTTCTAATTATTGAACTAAAAGTGTTTAGGGAACTAGAGTGACCATAGGATGTTTAATTCCCAAACAATGACCAGAGAAGCCATGGAAGCTTCTTTATATTTTATCTAAAAAGAAGGGAAAAAGCTACCCCAGAGACTGAATTTGAAGAAACACAGAAACTAAAATAAAGTTACTATGTGATTACACTCTGTAAGTCCTGATTCTCCACAACATTTACCAAATTTGAATGAAACTATTAAGAGTTTGGTTAAGCAACAGTTAAAAAGTTAGCATAATTCCATGGTTTATAGGCATTCACTTAAAATAATTTTGATTTGGCAGCTTTCCAGTTATGAAGCCAATATTCCCCTCCCCCTGCCCATGTCCCAACAATCTGTGGGCCCTTTAAAGCTTATGGGTCCTAGGCATTGCGCCTGCAAAGCCTAAACAATAAAGCTGCATTGACTCATTGCATTCACTCAACCAAACACACTTTGCAAAATGTAAATCTGATCACGCCCTACCTCTATTTAAAATCCTTCCATTAATCCTAATCACCTACAGGAGAAAATCCCAATATTCCTAAATGGGCAAGCATGACATTCACAGCCCGGCCCTACCCCCTCTCCAGCTGCATCTCTTTCCACTACCTGCCACCATGTACCATCATTGCTGGAATATATGCAAATGCAAGCACCATAGTGCTTTCCACCTTCACTGCTTTGCAAGTGTCTTTACATTACCTGGAATACTCTTTCCTGTCTCTTGTATCAAGCTAAATGCTATACTGTTTTTAAGACTTTCTGAGGAAATCACCAACTTCTAAAACCTTCTTGAATCCCCTTTCCCAGCCCTCATGATAATTTACCAGTCATTGCCCTATTATTGCTTTTATTATATCCTACTACTGAAATATTTGTTATATGTCTGCCTTCAAATGTAGACTGGGAGCTTCTTGAAGGTAGGGAAAACATTTTACTCAAATTTGTTTCTCAAGCATTTAACCTAAAACTTGGACATGTATTCAATACTGAATAGACTTTTGTTGAATAAAAAAAGAATACAGTTGCCTATATCAGTAACGTAAATTTTAATGATATCTGTGCAGTAAAGAATATAATATTAAAAGAAGGCTTAGGCCAAATTACACAAAAAGACTTTAAGAGAAGTTCAAATGTGTGATTATGTAAACCACTTTAAACCCCAGAGAATGTGAGGAAGATATAGAAAATTATAGAAGAGAAAATATTATTCCAGGTTAAAAAAAAAAGGGCGTTTGATTCTGTAATCTAGAGATGGGTTCTTTTGACATCGACTTCTGGCAAGTTTCCATAAAATATTATTGAATCAATTATGTGTGATTTCATAGGCTCTGTAGAGTAAACAACAATTACCAGGAGCCAGTACTTCATTCCAAAAAAAAATTATGTCTAAAATCACTACTTATTTTTGCTTTCTTAAAGTTACTAGTCCAATAATTCAATGAGGTAGCTATAAATGAAAACTTGTCAAAACACTTATTTGGATCATTAAAATACCTTTTTAAGCAAGAAAATATGTGGAAATATGAGTTAATTCAAGTATTATTCCCTAAGAAAACCTCCTCCTCTCTACCCATGCCATAAATACAACCCTCAGAAACAAGCAACAGCAGCCTACCACCAGGAAGGGACAGAAGGAGGCATGAGACTTCCTCTGGGACAGGTACATAATAAAGCTCATGGTGGAGCTGGAACACTGAGAAAAAGCTTTCAGCACCATTCCTTACCCAAAGCACAAGATAAAAGCAGTTCACTATTAGAGAGCTTTGAAGGCTTGTAATACACTAGAAGTAATCATTTTAACAACTACAAAAAAAAAAAATCCAGCTGAAATATTTACCAGGCTGATTAAATTTTCTAAATAATGGCCTAACAGAGATGTACCCACTTCTTTTTGTAAATAATATTTACTTCAGTCTCTTCTGTTCTTCAGCGTACCATCACTAACATTCAACAAAAAAATTATGAGACAAACAGAAAATATAGAAAATAACCCATTGTCAAGAGATAAAGTAGTCAGTGTAACCAGACTCAGAGATGACTGGAACTATCAAACAAGAAAATTAAAATAACTACAATTGATATCTTAAAGGATCTAGAGGAGTAGTCAGCAAACAGTGGCCTATGGGCCAAATCCAGATTACTGCTTGTTTTCATAAGTAAAGTTTTATTGAACACAGCCATACCCATTTATTTCTGATTACTTATGGATATCTTTGCACCATAATGGCAGAGTTAACAGTTATGAGGCCATAGTAGTGCCACTAAAGCCTAAAATATTTACTATCTTGCCCTTTACAAAAATAAACTTTACTAACCTCTTGTCTAATGGAAATGTTTGACAATTTGCATAAACAAATACAGACTCTCAATAGAGAGATGAAAACTATAAATTAAAAAATCATGTCAAATGAGTTCCTTCAACAGGCTCATCAGAATGAAAACAGCATAGGAATAAATTAATGAGCTTGAAAATATGTCAACATCAATAGAAATTATCCAAAGTGAAACACAGAAAGATAAAAAAACAGAGAAAGAAAAACAAAACCTAAGAGCAGTGGTGACAACATCAAATGGTCAACAAAAATGTAATTGGAGCCCCCAATGAAGACGGAACAGAGCAGAGGAAACATTTGAAGTAAAAATGAAAAAGAATTTAGCAAGTACTGTCACTTTCACCTTTAGTTGGTTAAATAATCATACCATTTAGCCTGGGAGTGGGCTAATTAATGGTATGCCATAACTTGGACAGAAGTCTAGTATACAACAGAATTCTGACTTGCATCCTGTTCTGTATACATTTTGATATTTGTATCTGATGATTTGTATGAAAATATGGGTTTACTAATCAATTTTTTGATAACATTGATCTAAGACATAGAACAAATCACAGTGAGTGAAAGAATTAGAATCAGTGGTGTCTAGATAGGCTTGCTAGTGTAATGGGCCAACATACAAATATAATCACAGCATTTAAATATAATGTATAAGCATGAAAAAGAGGATGCATAAGATTCAGCTTAATTACATTATGTATCCAAGATATAGTGGATTTACATAAAAATGAGTCCAATACAAACAAATTTCTGTGTTTAATGTGATTCCCAAATAAGTAAACATATGCTCAAATGATATTCACAGAGGCACAGAATTTAAGGCAACCATCATAAGATTCTGTTTATAGTCTGTGATTTGACTATTAAAATTGGTGGGCCATTTGACAACCACATTCTTCAAAGGCAAATATATTATGTTGAAACCATGTCAATGGAGCAAGAAATATTTAACTTGGAGAAAAGAAAATCAGTAAAGCCAAGACATTGAACAATCCTCGTAAGTAGAAGAGGAATTAAGTTTATTTTGCATGGCTTCTGGAGATAGAATTAAAACATAAATAGAAATTCTAAAAAGTCAAATTCTGACTCAATGTATTTGGAAACTTTCTAACAACAGAGGCTGTTCATAAATGGGAATAAGCTGCCTTATCAGGAAATGTCCCCATCACTATAGATGTCCACATAAAGACTGTATGTTACAGAGAAGCCTCAAGCATAGGATTGGTGGTTGTGTTCCTGGCTTTCCTATCCGGACATTCTGCATTTCTGTAATTGTGGAAAGAGGAGGCTCTATGGAGAAGAGACAAGGATAAGGAAAATTATTATGGGACCAGTCACTAAAATAGGATTACTGGGCTTAGGGGAAAACATCTCACATTTCATTTTGGTCATGTTGAGTTTGAGTGCCTGTCAGATAGCCTAATGGAAAGGTTATGTTGGCAATTAATTATATTTGGGGTTCAAAGTAAAGGTCTGAGCTAAAGTTAAGTTTAGGTGCATTCATTTCATAGATTAATACTGCCTGACTGAAACATATGAAACTAGTTTTAATAATTTATTTTATTTAACCCAATGTATTCAAAATATCATTTTAGTATATGGTCAATATAAAAATTATTGAGATACTTACATTCTTTTTTGTTTTTGTTTGCAATAAGTCTTCAAACTTTACAGTGTTTTATCCATATAGCAGTATAGTTTAGATACCCACTTTCCAAGTGCTTACTAGCCACATTTAGCTAGTGGTTACCATATTGGACAATGCAGGTATAGGTGATCATTGAATTTGTTAAAAAAAGATATAGAAAAGAAAATTTAGGATTAAACTTTGAGAAAGCCCAATTAAAGAAACTAAGATACAGCCAACACTGAGGAAAAACCTAGGAAAGTGTATTGTTCAGAGAGTCAAGAGAAGACAATGAGAATGTATGTGCTCAATTACATTAAATCCTGCTGAAAGTTCTGTCAGATTTAAATATCTGTTACATTTAGTGATGTAGAAAAATCAGCGCCATTAGCAGGACAGAAGCCATATGACAGTGGATTGAGAAGTGAATGTTCAAACGTCACTGTTCTCAGTTTGAGGAGTAATGTGCTCAGACTTTGTGGTTCTCTGCCCATTCTGCCATGGGCTTTGGATCTCTATTGGATAATCCATTAAAGAAAAAAGAACAATTGGCAGGCTGCAGGGTGCCTTCTCAGGAGACTCCTGTGAAAGGCACAGAAATGAAGCAGCTGCAATGCCTCCTTTCTATGCCCATCAGACTCTTTTGTAGTGGATTCTTTCAGAAGATATATGCTTTCTTCCTATTCTTTAGTCACAATCTGGGATAAAAATTGTTCAAAGCATAAAATAAGGCATTTTATTCCTTAAAAGAAGGATTCCCTGGACATAATTGGGCAGGGAGGGGATGAGGGAGCATCTTCATGCACAAAGCCATACATGGTGACTCTTTCAGAACTAACCGGTAAGCATAGGTGAATGGATGACTTTATGGTGACCGCAAAGGAAGAAAGCTATATGTAGTATATACATGATCTGATCTCAGCTCCATTCAGAAAAATTTTCTCTCAGTTAAAATAAATTCTAAGCCCCACCTGTAAGGCACAATTATATAAATAACATACGCACATTTTGCCAACCACAGCAAGAGCATGGTTATGTTACCTAATCCCCTCGCTTAGGAGACCATCTCTGAGAGGCTTTCTCATGCCATCTGCAGAGCTGCCTGCATTGAGTGGAAGGCCCATTACCATGACCATTACTGGCAAGGACATCCCCTGGAATAGAAATGGGATGAAAGAGAGTAAGAATTTCAGAAACAACCTGTCTTGGGCCCGAATGCAGTTTTGGTCCTGAAGTCTTACTTAAACTCTCTGAACAAAACTTAATGGTCAGGCCCATGGGTTCACATGAAGACCACATCATGATTCTATTATATGGCCTATTTGCCTTCCGCTGACACGTGGCAAGTCTCGTTCAGTTACTTGTTTATCACGGTGCAAAAAAAAAAAAAAAAAAGTCCTGAGTTCTAGCTCTGTGTTATATTGAACCAAACCAGACCCCTTCCTGGGCCTGTTATCTCATCCTTTCTAGCTGGCTGTGATCTGATCCTATCACCATCAATCCAGAGTTCTCAGATTTTTTTAACCACCCGTGGCCCCTAGGAGGTCTGTTCTCTTAAAAGCGATTTTCTCTTGCCAGCTCACTCAGAGGATTCATGATGACTATGGTTGACATAGGAATGATTCATCTATCATAAAGGTGGCTGCATGAGATCAAAAATACTCCAAGGAGAGCCAGAAGTGGGGGAAAGTGAGATTCAAAACCAAGAGACAGATCTGCACCGAAGCGGATGACAGCTTAATGAGAGGGGGAGATAATACTCCTGCATTTTCTATAACTCGTGTGTGCTTTTATGCCTCTCTGAAAGGCAAAAGTGCAGATTCACTGTCAAATATGTCTCCCGTGGTCCATCTCATGCCCACTCGAGATACTTCCTCCACAAAAATAGAAGGTAACAGATAGGCTGCCAGGAAGCATAGGTCAGGATAGCCCGGAGTGATTCCAGACACCATGCCCTGGATATCCATTGCTGGCTGCTTGTTTGTGATAATTCACTTGTCATTTACAAAAAGGGCCGGAGACCATGTTGAAAACATGTAGTTCTTTACATGGATTGTTTGATACTTTAACTTACCATTTTTATTCTTGAGATGGAATATTTTTATTATAATGTAAGCCAACCACCACTACTTTAACAGCCATTTTCTTCTATCCTCTCCCTAATGAACTTAACAATAGCCTACACCCAAATTCCAACCCCAGACTGAGTCCTGAAACTCCATTGTAAATGGAACATCTTACCAATGTGAGACCAAGACCCCTATTCCAGCCATAGATAGCCCAATCCTAGTCATAAGCAGAACCCTAATTCAGGCCACAGACAGCCCTGTGTGTGGCCAGAGATTGGCCACCATTAACCAGAGCCAGGGGCCTCAAAATGACCCCAGAAGTGATTAGATGAAAGAGAGGCCACTCCCACAAGGGAGCCACAAGTCAATGTGCATGTCTTTGTAGGAATGGGTCAGAGACATTTTTATTATGAAATATGATACATTCGTTTTATAGTTTCCTAGCAACAGGATGCCAATCAACCAGCTGTAATTCACGGATTCATTTTCTTTGTTATGAAGGAGCTGGCAGCGGGAGGTAGGAGGACCTCCTAGCACATGGTAGAACTGACAGTGTGTGGCTCGAGGATGAGGAGACCAAGCCTGCAGAAGGAAGTACCTCGGAGAGTGTGCCTTTCTTCCTTCAAACTCTTTGAAGCAGGGATTCATCCTACTGCTGTTGCTGCTGTCATTGCTACTGCTGGCTTCTTGCTCCCACAGTAATTACTAGAGTTGATGGGTACAATTTTAAATCATATGGCATGTTTTTGAATCACACACAGTGCTTGCTCCATGCTCAAAACATTGGCAGTAGAACACAAATCAGGACAGAGATAATAAACCTTCTCAGGCTACTTCCCCTAGTATCTTGGCTGAGCTTTGAAAAAGCTGTACTCGCTAACCAAGTCAGGTGGTTAGGTCTCTGAGACGTTATCCTGTGGCTCGTTCCCACTCTTTTGAGCACCTGCAAATTTATTACATAAGATATTATTTTGTACTCAATCTAATTAGTTAGAACAATTTGTAGTCATTTGAAATACACTCCATGTTGATTAAAATAATTAGTGTAGGGCTACTAAATATTTACCTAAGATATGAATCCAGAGGGAATTTGATAAATTTAATTAGCAAGAACTAATTATTGTTATGATAGGAGTTAGGGTTTAATAAATATAATTACAGAGCACAAATGACGGTTTCTTAATTAATAGATACTAGTTGCAAACACAAGAGCCATTATCATATTTTCATGCAGGACATGCTATTCAGCACACCTTCCAGACATCAACTATAACAGCCACGGTGACTTACCATAAGAGGATGGAACACTTACATAGTGCTTATGCTGTCAGGCATAGTTCTAAGTGTTGTTAGCATATTAACTCATTTAATCCTTACAAAAACTCTGTCACTGGCCACATTTTACCTGTATAGAAACTAAAGCATAGAAAGGTCTGATAACTTGTCCATGGCTTAACGCGGTGGCTCACACCTGTTATCTCAGCACTTTGGGAGGCTGAGGTGGCTGAATTGTCTGAGCCCAGGAGTTCGAGACCATCCTGAGCCACACGGCAAAACACTGTCTCTACAAAAAATACAAAAAATTAGCTGGGCATAGTGACGTGGGCCTGTAATTCCAGTTGCTTGGGAGGCTGAGGTGGGAGGATCACTTGAGCTTGGGAGGCAGAGGTTGCAGTGAGCCAAGATTGTGCCACTGCACCCCAGTCTGGGCAACAGAGCCAGACCTTATCTAAAAAAAAAAAAGAAAAGAAAAGAAAAAAAGAAAAAGAAAAAAGGTAAATTGCCCAAGATTACACAGCTAGGAAGTGTCATTTGATCTAATGCAGTTTAGCTCAATAGTCCACGCCCTTAACCACTATTTTTAAAGGGTTTTTCCATGTTGCTAAGGATGTTCTGGAACTCCTGAGCTCAAGAGATCAGCCACCACTTGGCCTCCCAAAGTACTGGGATTACAGGTGTGAGCCACCGCGCCTGGCCTTAACCATTACAATACCTAAAACAAACAATAGTGGTAACAACAAAAACACAAATAGAAATTATGAATGTTCAAAAAGCCAGCAACCAAAATCCTCAGATCCATATTTGCTATTCAGGTATAATAAACTTTTTTATATTTGCATATACCATTTTCATGATTTTGGGGATTCTAAAGATGATTCTGAAGTGATTGAATTATTCATATTCTCAATATGAGACAAAACCATTAGACTCAACCAAAGCTTCCTAGAGCTTTTTTCTAGGAAGAAGAGCTTGATTGCCTATTGTCATAGGCACCGTCCCCTAGATCTAAGTTCATATCCTTGCCCAGTGTCCTTCCCATCAAGGATTCTACATCTTAACTTGTGCCTTTGGGACAATGGAAACTGCTGAAGTTTCATTCATGGGCAAATGAGCACTTATCATCAAGAATGGGAAGAGACTGTGATAAGGGAAAGTTGCAAAAGCCCAGATTGTCAAAAGCTCTGGACTTTGTATTCAAAGTGGAGTTGTGATACCCTTTCTTCCGAGTTAATGGGTGCAGCACAACAACACAGCACATGTATACATATGTAACAAACTGGCACATTGTGCACATGTACCCTGGAACTTAAAGTATAATAAAAATAAAATATATTTTAAAAAAAAGAAAAGAAATGCAGCCCTTCTCACAAAAAAAAAAAAAAAAAAAAAAAAGGTGGAGTTGTGGAAAGTTGTGGGTTGGTGCCACAGAGCAGAGCAATCCTAGAGACCACCTCCCTCTGGCTTAGCCGTATGTAGAAAAAATGCATTTCTTCCCCTGGACAATCCTGAGACACAGTTTAATCCAAAGGGAGCAATGTGGGAGAGAAAAAAAATGAGAAAAACCAATAAATAGTAAAACAAGGAGCAGGAAAAGACAGGCCTGGATGCACAATTCTTTTTGTGCCTGTTAAATGAACTCTGGTGGGGATGAGAAGAGAGAATTATCCTATTTATATATTGAAAGGAATTTTAAATATGCATAGGCAGGGAGAGAGGATCCACAGAGATTGAAATGCAAAACACAGCATGGTCTGTGCATCTCCCCATCTATCTCTCAGTACCATTAGCAAGTTCCTTGCACCAATTTCTGGAAAGCTCCCTCTAAAACTCAGAGCCGTCCTTCTACTTACTCAGCATTCCTGTCTTAGAAAAGCAGTTCTATTTTTAAAAAGAAATGGGCCTTCACTTGCAAAACACCTTGCAAATGTATTCACACAGAAACACAGCTCATACTTTCACAATGATGCACACACACGTTCAACCAACCCATTTACACACACAGACACACAAAAACTTCCACCACTACCTTTACTTCTGGACCACAATCTCCTGGCCTCTTGGCACTGGGGTCACAGAAAAACAATGCAGGTTCATAACATGCACAAGAAAAGAACATCTCACACCGTCATGCAGGAAGACAGAAGCATGGATCAGAAGGCGTGGGAAATTTGTCATCATTCAGCTGAACACAATCACTTTGGGAACATGTAAGAGACAGAAAACTGACAGTATTTCCTAATGAATACACTTTATCCACATTTTAAAACAATGCTGTCCCACGCAAATCTTTACTGCCTTACCAAATTCCCCTTTTCACCAACCCCACCGAGCACATATCATCTGCTTTGAAATAGCAGAAACTGCTGTTCTCAATGGTTTCCAAAGTCCTGAAAGACAGAGAAATTGCCAAATACAAATAAGACCTTTGTAAGTCATCTTACTTCAATATCTCCCTTCTTCAATATCCCCTTAATGTCCCCAGCCTTCAATATCTCCCTTCTTCTCTGTCTCTCACAGGTACAAAAAGTCCCTGTTCCTCCTGATAAGGTCTGTTGCTTTGTAGGATTTGGTCACCGACATGGCTATTACTTTGGGAAAGATTCCATTCTCTGGTTATTTCCAGGGGAGCATAGTTAAAAAATTACAAAGTTTGCAAATGGTTAATACTTTCAGATTTTTTACAATAAGCTTCCATTTAAGGATGAAAACAATAAAAATATATGGAAAAAAGGGAAGAGGAGGGACAAAATATGGGCGCATGTGAAATTGTCTTGTTAGATGTTATGACATTCTTCCAGTAGAAAGAAATCGTGAATGCTCCAGCTATCTTTTTTATTAAAAAATAAAATAAAAGTTTAGCTTTTGTTTTAGATACAGGGGGTACATATGCAGGTCTGTTACATGAGTATGTTGCACCCAGATAGTGAGATAGTAAGCATAGGCGCCAACAGGTGGTTTTTCAAGCTATGCTCCTTCCCTTTCTTCTCCCTGTAGTAGTCCACAGTGTCTACTGCTCCCATGTTTATGTCCATGTGTACTCAGTGTTTAGCTCTCACTTACAAGTGAGACCACATGGTATTTGATTTTCTGTTCCTGCATTAATTCAGTTAGGATTATGGTCTGTAGCTGCATCCATGTTACTGCAAGGGATATGATTTCATTCCTTTTAATGGCTGTGTAGTATTCCATGGTGTATATGTACCACATTTCCTTTATCAAGCCGACCATGGATGGGCACCTAGGTCGATTTCATGTTTTGATATTGTGAACATCACAGTGATGAACGTATGAGTGCATGTGTCTTTTGGGTGTAATGATCTATCTTCCTTTGGGTATATACCCAGTAATGGGATTGCTGGGTGGAATGGTAGGTCTGTTTTAAGTTCTCTGAGAAATCTCCCAATTGCTTTCAACAGTGGCTGAAATAATTTACATTCCCATCAATGGTATATAAGCATTCCCTTTTCTCTGCAGCCTCACCAGTATCTGTTGTTGTTTTTTTGTTTTTTGTTTTTGACTTTTTAGTAATAGCCATTCTTACTGTGAGATGATATCTCATTGTGACTTTGATTTGCATTTCTCTGATGATCAGTAATAATAAGCATTTTCAGATCCAGGAAGAAGCCATTTGCCAAACTCCTGGCCTTCTCCCAGGCCTGATAACACTCTGCAGTTTGCCTGGCTAATACCTACTCATTCTTTAACTGTAGCATTACTTCCTCTAGAAGTCTGTCTCAGATGGTTCCCATCTGACAGCCAATTGATAGCAGTATGAAGGGAAAGGAATGGGGAGGGCAGGAAAGATGACAATTCTATATTGAGACATGTGTGGTTTGTGGTTTCTATATAAAATCCAGATGGTGACATGAGTGAACGCTTGACCCTACAGGCCTGGTTATCAGGCATAGGAGGATGGACTCTGAAGCATAGGAAGTCCCCAGCATGTGAACCGTCCTGAAAGCATTGGCCTAGAGAAGTGCCAAGAGGGGAGATGCCATATTCAGAGGAAAGAGTTTAATTCAGGGCTTTATGTGGAGAGTTACCTGTAGACCCAGATTCGTGATACCAGGACAGTATGAATCATCATGGCTGTAATTACCTTAATGTAACATTTTTCACTGAGAGCCCAGAGAAGTGCTTACATCTACATTAGTTTTCAGGCAATCAAACACCAGGAGAAAAATAAAAGCCTGAAAATGGTATTAATGTGTGAAAAACACTTTAAAAAACCCACAAATATCTTGAGAACAACCTAGAAGAATGAGAATGTTTCACCAGGGTGATTGGGATTCACAGCTCCAATCTGAGCACAGGCTTGTGAAGATGCATAAGAAAGGTGTCTTCCTCTCTGAGGAATTAGCACCTGAATCATTCGCTGCTTTCCAGTGTGGCACCTACCATAAAAACAGCTCTCCCCATGAAGGTCATAAAATACCTGCATTTCCTTAGTGTTGGTTTACAGATGAGAGGCTGAAGGGGCTCAGGACCCAGGTCTCTATTGACACCTGATTATTGCTAACCAACAATGGAGCAGAAGATGGACAAATGTAAACACAACTGTAATCTCTCTGGGTGTCTTTATGCCCATGTTGTTCATTTTCCTTTTCCTTGCAGCCTTCCATGAAGTGATTTTGGCCAGGTTCATAATGCTAGGGAATCTCTTCTCCAACTGTTGTAGTTTGTTGTTTAAAAAAAAAAAACAAGAAACAAACAAACAAACAAACAGCCTGATCGGATTGCAGGAGGCCCTGTGTGTATTGGGTCTCCCACCCCTTTCCATGTATTTGTGGAGGCTCACAGGCATCTGCTTCTGAGTTTGGTTTCTGATGGTCCCACCAAAACCTGCTTACCCTTTCACATGCAGTTGGCTTGCCTGTGCCCTTTCCAAGCAGCTCACATTCCATGGTGCACACTAAGGACAGCCCCTCTCGTGATGGCTGACAGTAAACTAACATCACCCAGATATGAATGCCCTTGCAGTCCAACAAGACCTCCTAGACCCTTCCCTCGGCCGCCTTACATCCAGGTACCATGTTTGGAGTGTACCATCCTTGGCGCACCATGCATAACTGACACTGCCTAGCTAGGAGCCCCATCTTTTCTTATCAGAGTATATAATTTCTTTGTCTTCAGTATATTCTCCCTGCAATACTTTTCACATACAGAAGGCAGAATGATCTTACTGCAATGCATGTCTGTCTTTGCTATTCCACCATTAAAACTACTTCTGTTCCACCACTGGCTTTCTGCACCTACAAAAGCAAGTCCAAACTCCTGACCGTGGCTTACTGGGCCTTCCGTAATCTGATCCCTCCCTCTTTCATCAGACATACCTCCTTTGTATGGTAAAATATGGGCTGAATGTTTGGGTCCCTAAAATTCATATGCTGGAATCCTGACCCCTCCTCCCCTTCCCCCGCAGTGAGATGGTATTAGGAAATAAAATATTGGGGAGATAATTAAGCCATGAGGGTGGAGCCTTCATGAATAGGATTAGTTCTCTTCTAAAAGAGACCCAAGAGTTCTCTAGCCCTCTTCCCACCATATGAGGACACAGTGAGAAGACAACAGTCTGCAACCTTGAACCCTGATGTCGCTAGACATCAACTATGCTGGCACCCTGATCTTGAACTTCCAGCCTCCCAAACCATGAGAAATAAATGTCTGTTGTTTATCAGCCACCCCGTCCTTGGTACTTTGTTATAGCAGCCTGAAGTGACTAGGACAATATGGGACAATTAAGGAGATTATATCATTTGGGCTACTGCAATGGGAAGAAGAGTCATTAATGGGGAACAAGAACATATCAGAGAAAAGGAAGCAGGCCTTGAGCTTCATAGAAGCAGGTAAACAAGGGAATCATCTGCAAGTCTTCTGGAATTCATGGGGAAGAATGAAAATGGGTTGTCTTAGGAATACACTAGAGTGTGCTCTTTGTGGTTTGCTTTTCTGGAAACACAGTAGGGTGGCAGCCTTCCTAACAGCCACTGTTTCCAGAAGCACAGGCCTCAGGTGAAGTTCAGCACTGCCACCACATTTCTTGTGCAGTCTCCATTGTCCTCCAGCCACAGACATGCTCACTTGAGCCAGGTTTTACACCCCTAGACAGACCTCAGTTGGCTGTATTGGAGTTAGAAACCCTTCTCCTTCTTATATGCCTGACCAACATTTCAAGATTCAGTTACCTTCTCCATAAAACCTTAATCAGGACCTACTTAGTCCAGTTGTTATAAATATTAAACAGAATGATACAAATAAAGTCCTGTGTGGCTTCCTGGTGCCTGATGAGTGCTCAAGCAATACAGACTTATACAAGTCATTCCTGGCTGGGCCTTGCAGACGGAACTGCTTCCATGCAAGGCATGGAAGGCATCTATCTTTACACCTGAGACACCAGGTCTCAGTTGCTGCCATTTGTATCTCTTCTTCATGCTGTGTATTCATTCTTTTACCAGACATTCATTAATCCTCACCGGGGCTGCAGCAGTAAACAAGACAGTCCCACCGCCAGCCCTTATGGAGATTGTGGCCCAGTGGGGCTACACATGAGTAAATAAACAATTGCAGTGCAGAGTGAGACGTGCAATACTAGGCTAGGGACAAGTGCCCTGGAAGCATAAAAGTAGGCATGTGACCCAGACCTCAGCAGAGGATGCATGCAGGTTTCTGGAGGAAGCAATGTCCAAGCTTAGATGAAGGGAGGACTATTCAAAAAATAATTTGTAAAAGATCTCAAAGCTGGAAGGGGAGGAGGAGGAAGAGGTGGGGAAAATGTCTAACTCAGGGCAAAAGAACTGGTCTGATTGCATGCCCAGTTCTCTGTCTCTCTCTGATTCTCTCTCTCTCACACACAAACACACACACACACAAATGCGCATGCCACGCGCACACACACACACACACACACACACGCTTTCCTCATGGCTTATCTTTGTTCTGCCTATAAGTGTCAAGGTATAAAGATCATCGAGTGTCTGAATATTTTGCCTCAGCGCTGACAGGAATCGAAGTCATTAACCCTGACAAAGACCTTTCTAACATTAGAAGGCAATGGGACTAAGACACTACTTGGAAGAAGAGCTAGAGAGACAAAAATAAGGAATCACACATTAAGCACTCAATAAACATTTCCCTCCTTCGTTCCTGACCCAAGCCTTTTAGACAGTGAATATAATGAATTTTGCAAACTGTGTGTATGGTAACCTTAGCTATTGTCAGGAAGAAATTAATGTTTTATAAAGCTTGTCCCAGGCACCACCCATGGGGACAAATTCCTGGGACAAGGGGCTGTTGAAGGTGGGGCTGCCAGTGGGCAAGTGGGGGTGGGGATCAGGGCCAAAGAATGAGTGAGAGGTAGCCAGCAAATGCTCCAGATGCCTCTCTGGAGAACTGAATTTATGAACCTCGACTTCTCCCTGAATCCTCAAACATCTTCTGCATGGAGGGCTTGCTAGTGTACTCTTTAGATCTATGCACCTATTTATGCTGTCAGTGAGCCACTTAGTGATAAAATTCACAAACTCAAAGTTGCCTGGAGGCTGTGGCTGTTATCAGCAGCCAGCGGACAGCTCACATGGTGCCCCATCCTTAGCCATCAGCAAGCTCTCCACCTGTATTGCTCTGCAAGCGCCTCCCACGTCTCTACAGACACACTCATGGCCAGCCAGAAATTACTCACATGAAGTTTGGGTCAGCCCACTGCTCCATCCCTGATGCAGAAGGTGGTTTCGTGGCTAAGGGTGCGCAGGGAATTGTCAAGGATCTGTAAGAGAGTAGAGGAAAAAAATATACATACACCTACACCTGCATATACATAGTCATCCCTCAGTATCCAAGAGGAATTGGTTCCAGGGCCTTCCTCAGATACCAAAATTTGTGGATGCCCAAGTCCTTGACATGAAATGACATCGTATTTGCATATAACCTACACACATCCTCCTACTTTAAATCACCTCTAGGTTACTTATAATACATAATACAATGTAAATGCTATATAAATATTTGTTATACTGTATTGTTTTGGGAATAATGACAAGAAAAGTAGTCTGTACATATTCAGTACAGATGCTATTTTTTTCCAAATATTTTTGATCCACAGCTTGATGAATCTATGGTTGCAGATGCCATGGATATGGAGGCCTGACTGTATACATATACAAAGTATCCTTGAGGACAAGATCTGCTTCCTATTTTGTAGGGTTCATTGAAAAATGAAAATGTGGGACTCTTTTGCTTATTATTAGCAGTTTGTTTCATGATGGCAACAGCTGAGCATGCAACCAAGCCTGGGACCCCTCTGACCATGGGCCTTGTTTGCACAGGTCACACACCCACAAAGGCAGCCCTGCCTAGAGGTCACATAATCTAAAACTCTTATTTTACAGGTGAGAAAACTGAAACCCAACAACAGAAACCATTCTCTTGTTCCTGTCCTATGTCATTTTTGTGCTCTGCATTAGCCCCCCCGACAAGTTTCCTTAGCCAGGTACCTCTTCACCTGCCAGCTGTGAAATCGCAGGCAAGCTATTCTCCCTTTTCTTCCTCAGTTTTCTCATCTGTAAAATGAGGAGAATAACACTGCAGATCTCAATTATTGGCTATAATAATTAAACAAGGTAATGAGGCAAAGGTTTAGAAGATCTCAATAAATGCTGGTAATAGTAGTAATGGTTGTTATGGTATTTTAGTAAATACCCCTACTGGTCTCCTCTGTGACTTCTCTTAGGAATCCACAGGACAGGACACCTTTGACAACACTGTGAGCTACCTCATTGTGAGCAGAAGTGTGGGAAATAAAAGACAGAGCATCCATATCAGGTCCAGAGAAACATTAGACCCTGGAAAAAGCTAATTCAAACAGCTCTGCTTCTATGAGTCTATGCCATTTACTCCCATCAAAGACTGGGCTGAGCTGGAAGAGTGACCTGGAGTGCTTGCCAAAAAGTCAGATTTCTGGACTCCCACAACCACCCACCGACCTAGATCTAATAAATCGGAATTTTCCAGGGTAGGATCTAGAAAGCCATTCTAATAAGCTTATTTCACACCAGTGGCTGAGGACCACTGCCCAGAGCCACCAACAAGCCCTCCATTGAGTGCCTCCTTTCCTGTTGCTCCCACCAGGCTGGTGCAGCCCTGCCTGTGGTAATCTTGCATGGGCAGGGCACCCAGCAGGCGCCAATTAAAGTGTGTTGGTTGGTTGTCGGATGGTTCACTGCACATGTCTCACATCTAACACACAATAAAAGCCGACTGCTGTGCCAGCTGGTCAGGCCACTCCATCTGGGCCTTGTCCAGAAGGTCTCCAGCTGGGGTCTTGAGAGGAGCCCATAGAGGCTGAGCACACCCTGCAGGCAGTGTCTTGCTCTCTTGCGGCCTCCAACTGTGGGCCATCTCTCCGAATGCTGGCATCTCCTCAAGCTTTACACATTACTGCTAAGGTGTTTGAGCTACATAAGCAAGGACAAAGGACATTTTGAGCCTTGCTTCCAACAAATGTCAAAAGTGTATCCCACTGGAAGCACAGGTCTATAAATTGTTTGGTAAGTCGCTCCGGTGGTTCTTCCTACAAACTCTACCAAGCAAATGGCAAACATTCCTCATTTTTCTGTTTTTTTCTTGTTTTGTTTGTTTTTTTGAGATGGAGTCTTGCTCTGTCGCCCAGGCTGGAGTGCAGTGGCACAATCTCAGCTCACTGCAAACTCCACCTCCCAGGTTCAAGTGATTCTCCTGCCTCAGCCTCCCAAGTAGCTGGGATTCAGGAGCCCACCATCACACCCAGCTAATTTTTTTTTTGTTTGTTTGTTTGTTTGTTTGTTTGTTTTTTTTTGTATTTTTAGGAGGGACGAGGTTTCACTATGTTCACCAGACTGGCCTCTAACTCCTGACTTCAGGTGATCCACCCACCATGGCCTCCCAAAGTGCTGGGATTACAGACGTGAAACACCTCACCCAGCTGCAAACATTCCTCTTTAGCCAAGGTAGCCTACCTGGCCCTTTCTGTCCTTCACTCTGGGAAAGAGAGAGAAACCCAATTGGAAGCAGGCTCCAGTCATCATGGGGATGGTCTGGTGTGGCTTCATCACGCTGTATTACTTCCTCTTCTCCCCAGCACCCAAATATCCCCTCTTTCAAAGCACCATTTAGTTTGTGCCTCTTTAGAAATTGTCAGAAATTAAGACTGACTGCTCACTTTTCCTGTATGGAGTCTCTAATGGCCCCAAACTCAAGCTAAGAGGTGCTTATTTATAAGGAAAGAGCAGGAGGACCATGGAAATGTCATAGCATACACTGTAGGAAAGAGCTGGCTCTGAAGAAATGAAGCCTGTGTCCCCCAGGGAACCCTCCCAGGGCTCTAGAGGCCTAGGTACCTGCTTCAAAACAACCTTGGGAGTTGAGGCCAATTCAGCAAGTCTCTCCCTAGGAGTGAACCTCAGCCTGTACCTGCTACCTGTCCCCATCATATCCCCCTGTGTGATCCAGAGCCCTTCTCGTAAGCCCATGCATTGCATTAATCAGCCAGCAATCTTCCCTGCAGGTCAGCAAGGTGGCCAACATAATGCTTATTAAAATGAGCACAGTATGAAAAAAAAATCACAGGCCCACCTCCCCAAAAGCTTTATTTTTAATTTTGGTTCTCAGTATTTATCACCAGGTTTTGTGTGTTTACTTTGTTTTAGTTTGGTATATATTAGCTTATACTACCTCTACAATGCAAGCCTTATGAGGGTAAGGACTACAATTTATTTGTTCAAATTAAAACACCATAAAACATATAGGTGCTTAAGATGTGGTTATTAAATCAAAGCACAAGAGAATGAGTTTGCTTAATCTAGCCCAATCTTGATGACCCCCCTTCTCCCTGGTGGTATCAGATGCTATCCAATTGATGTAGGATATTTAACAAGGCCTTGGGGAATAAGGAGTTTTATTCGTTTTAAAAGGTCAAAATTTCTGTAAACTCATTAATTTGTTTGTTCCAATAAAGAGGCAAGAATATAAAAGTAAATGTAATGACAGAAAATACTTAGGAACAAGGGACAGAGCTCAGGGGAAGGAGGCATCAAATGAGGGAGGATGCTGAAGGTGCTAGGGTCTTATGGGAAGTGGGTATCTTAGTTTATCTGGGCTGCTGTGACAAAATCCCTTAGACTCGGTAATTTATAAGCAACAGAACTTTATTGCTCACAGTTCTGGGGGCCAGGAAGTCCAAGATCAAAGGTGCCAGCAGATTCAGTGTCTCGTAAGGGCCTCTTCCTCACAGAAGGCTCCTTCTATGTGGCCTCACATAGCAGAAGGACCACACAGCTGGCCTCAGGCCTCTTTCATAGGGCACTAATTTCCTTCATGGGGGTGGGGCCTTCATGACCTAATTGTCTCCTAAAGGTCCCATGTCAATACCATTTCCCTGGGGGTTAGCTTCCAACATATGAATTTGGGAAGGTCACAAACATTCTGACCATAGCAGTTAGCTTGTAGGTCATTATTTGAAAAGAAGACATTCTCTCTTCTGACCTCATAGACTGGGTTGGGTATCCCCACAACCTTGAAAATGAGGCCAATCATGGTACTTAGCATATTATGTTTTAACATCCATGTGCCCTGTGAGCTCCTAAAATATTATATTTTATTCCTTTCTGAACCCCTGGGCTCTGGCACACAGTGGGTTCTCAGTAAATGTTTGCTGAACAAATGAAAAAAATAAATTGGCAGGCTATTCCAAGTGGGAGGAATGGGGTAAGCAAAGGCTTTTGGAAATAAATGGTGTAGACAGACAAGGAATGTATGTTTGCTTGTTGCTGTTAACTGGAGCTTTGGGTAATTCAAGGTCATAGTGACAGATCCACCTTAAGTCAGTGGTCTAGGCAAAGAACTGCATTATGAAACCATGACCCGGTGGCTCACGCCTGTAATCCCAGCACTTTGGGAGGCCAAGGCGGGTGGATCACCTGAGGTTGGGAGTTCGTCAGCCTGACCAACATGGTGAAACCCCACCTCTACTAAAAATACAAAATTAGCTGTGCATGGTGGCACATGCCTGTAATCCCAGCTACTTGGGAGGCTGAGGCAGGAGAATCGCTTGAACCTGGGAGGCAGAGGTTGCAGTGAGCCGAGATCATGCCATTGCACTCCAGCCTGGGCGACACAGAAAACTCCATCTGAAAAAAAAAGAAAAAGAAACCATGCCCTTTGCCTGAAAGCACCTTTGTTACTGCACTTAGAGCATTTAGCCATAAAGTCATTGTTGTTTTCTCAATGGTTTTGCAAAAGATGAGTGCCCATTTCTTCATCTCTTTCACTGGGGCTCTGCCTGCAGGTTGAAAGACTACAGAGTCCCAGCTACTGGGGAGGAAAGCAGGATCTTGCTTCAGACAATGAGATTCTGGGGCACAAGTGTAAACCCTGGGCAAGTAAGAAATACTACCAAAATATCAGGTCAAGAATGGGGTGGATGTGGCATCATTTCCTCCAGCTCTCTCCGCCTCACAGGATTTCCAGAAGAAACCGACTCTTGTGCTTTCTAACAATAATCTAAACTAGAGGCATATGCTTTCATCTTTCTCAGCTGAAAGGCTTTTTAAGCTCCCTACTGTTTGTTTTGGTTTATTACTGAAAGGCTAAAACCATAAAAAAAAATCATTGTTGTGGGTATTTTCCAGTTGAGATGAAATATTTAACAAGGGTGAGGTGGGGAGGAGGAAGTTTGCTGAAAATACCATTTTTTAAAGGTCAAGAAATGCATAAACCCATTACTTTAATACTGTTTGTTCCCACAAGAGACAAAGCGTTCCGAGTCTTCCCCCACTCCCGATTGTTACGCACAAATGCACACACGCCAGGTCCTTCCTCACAAACCACGGCTATGATCCTCTTACAGCCCCGCGTAGAATCTTCCGTGGCTCCACCCAGCCCAGAAAATGAGATGCACTCTCCTCAGCCCAGCATGAAAATCCTACCACAATCCAGCTTGACCTAGGTGTGCATCTCACTGCCCACAGGGGCCTCGACCCCCTTTCCCTATCAGCCTGTCAAAAAGACATATTCTTGCAGACATTTTCTATGTATCGTTTTACCTCCTTGTGTCATAGAATCAGGCCAGTCTCTGTTTAAATAATCTCCTGCCTCTCCCTTCCCATCCATGGTGACACATCAAAATCTTACCCACACTTTCAACACCTAGTGCAATTTCACCTCCTCCAAGAGGTCTCCTTGGTCACCCCACTCAGATTCCTCCTAGAGGCACGTGGCCACACTGTACATCTGTTCATGACTAATCTCCCTGATCAGGCTGTGAGTTTCCTGAGAGGAGGGGCCACATGGCCTGTATAACTTTGTGCCCCCCACCAAGCACACACCTCTGCATACTGAATACTCTGTATATCGCTTTTCAATCACTGAATTAATGAAGAAACAAATGAGCCTTTTCCTCTCTGCAGCATTTGCTCTACTATTTGTGCAAAAAATAAATTCTTAGAACATGCCAAAGCACTCTACATAATGGATGCATCTTCTGATTGGATTATAATTAAAATATGATTTTTAAAATAATAACATCGTTACCTCGATTGGCAGAAGGGAGATGGCAGATGTAATGGATAGTTGATGAACAGTTTGAATGCAGCCATAATGTATATCATGTTAGTTTCTTATTTCAAAAAAGCACTTTAGAGGAACATCCCAAGAACTTGCTGTTAAATAGAATCCCCAAGTGAAGCCGAATTATACAGTACAAGAAAGTAGGAAAGCTGAAAGAGCTCATAGAGGAGGAGGCTCACAGAGCAGGAAGGCTGTGGGGCAGAAAGAATGTGACAGGCAGTTCATTAGGAGGCTGAAGAGTGTCATGAGGCTGGGTCCTGAGCAGCCTGAGAGGCAGCAGCTGCTGCACACATTCTAAACCAGCCTTAGCCAGTGCAGATGTCACCAGCCACAGGTGGCTACTGAATACTTGAAACGTGGGGAGTGTAAAGTAAGATATTACAAATGCCATTAAATACACACTGGATTTTGAAGACTTCCTATGAAAAAAGAATGTAACTGACCTCATTAGTGACTTTTTTACATTGATTACATGTTTGAATAATAAGATACTGAATAGATTGGGTTAAAGAAAATATACTATTAACATTAGGCCGGGCACAGCGGCTCATGCCTGTAACCCCAGCACTTTGGGAGGCCAAGGTGAGCATATCACTTGCGGCCAGGAGTTTGAGAGCAGCCTGGCCAACATAGCGAAACACCATCTCTACTAAAAATACAAAATTAGCTAGGCGTGGTGGTGTATGCCTGTGATCCCACCTACGTAGGAGCCTGAGGCACGAGAATCGCTTGAACCTGGGAGGTGGAGGTTGCAGTGAGCCAAGATCGTGCCACTGCACCGCAGCCTGGGCAACAGAGCAAGACTCTGTCAGAAAGAAAGAAAAGAAAGAAAAGAAAAGAAAAAGCAAGCAAGCAAGCAAGCAAGCAAGAAAGAAAGAAAAGAAAGAAAGAAAGAGAAAGAAAGAAAGAAGGAAAGAGAGAGAGAGAGAAAGAAAGAAAGAAAGAAAGGAAAGATAGAAAGAAAGAAAGAAAGAAAGAAAGAAAGAAAGAAAGAAAGAAAGAAAGAAAGAAAGAAAAAAATATATCATTAATATTGATTTCAACTTTTTAAAATGTGGCTACTAAAAAAATGTAAAAATGTAAAATTACATATGGGGCTAGCATTTGTGGTTTTCATTATATTTCTACTGGACCACGCTGGTCTAGACTAAGGTATTTAGACCAAGCAGGTTGTCAGTTTTCTCACTCTCTGAGTAGTCTGTCAGTGAGTGATGGTAAAGAACATCACTCACACTCTAAAAAACATAGGTGCCAGAGCAAGCCAGCCTCGTGGTAGCATAAGAGTCATTTCCGTGGTCATTTTCCCACTCATCAGAGCCCAGGGATTACCATCTGAGTCTAAAGGTAGAAAATATACAGTGCGACTATTACCACAGCCTTGGGATCATGAACCATCCTAAGCCCCAAGCAAGAAAAGTGCCAGGAAGTATTTATCATATTTGGATGTGGGAATTAAAGAAAAGATTCTTTAAGCAGGAGTTGTTATGGGTTTGCTTATATTTTTTTCTATCATCACAGGGTTCATTCATATTAGTGGTTTCTTTAACCTGGTATTTCTAAGTATGCTGATAAGTATGACTTAACTGATTGTCTGTTGGCTTTAGGTACTATTTGCTGTGGATGCTTAAGCCTAATTTCTTATTCCCCCCACCCCCCACCAAATGGGCTTAATATTAATATATAACCAAAGGAGTCTTTGAAATAACAAATCTTGACCATCACTCCTCTTCTTCAACCTGAGTAAACTGAGATGTGGCATAGCAACCAGTCATAGGCCACATACACTCCTGGGCAGCTAAGGGGGTGACGGTGAAGGATGGGGGGCAGGATGATATGCAAGTAAATAGACCTAGTATTAACAAAAATATCTTTGCTGTAATTGACTTAAGTCCTAGCTTAAATTATGTTTATCCAAAATCTTTGCTTGCACAAAGGTGAAGTCTTTGTTATAAATTTCTATATAACAAGTTATCCTATAATTTAGCAGCCTAAAACAATACATGTATATGAGCTAACAGGGCCTCTGGGCCAGGGTGTTGCTCAGCAGCATCTTTCATCTTCAAGTCTCTCACAAAGCTGCAATCAAAGATGGTGAGGGCCACAGTCATCTGAAGGCTCAGCTGGGGTAGTACATGCTTGCAAACTCACTCACATGGTAAATACTTTCATGAATATATGTATATGCATGTATGTTATTTATGCATACTGAGTTATTTATGTTGCTGAGACAATTTTTTTAAAAATTGCTATGGCCTTTTCTATTAACTGCACAAATGATTCACCCTGAATTTATATCTGCTCACCACTCCCCTACCTTCCTTCTCTGCTCCACATACACGTAGTCACAGGACATACTTATTTGAAGAAAAAAAAAGCGTGAGTCGGCAGCTTACATAGAACCAACTTCCCTGTATCACATGTGAGTTCCACCAAAAAATGGCTTGTAATGGAATTCTTTGTGGGTTTCACTTGCAATTGCACTGACAAATTAAAGAAGACCAAAGAAGGGAGCGCCCCTTGCAAAGTAGAATGCCAATGACTTCTCCAAACCAGGTCATCAATCTCTGGACAAACAGGCACCCACCCTTTTGCTAACCAATTCATTCCTCCCAAGAGATTGCCTGAAAAGCAACTGGACTGAACGTGAAGTTGGAGCTTTTGAAAAAACAAGGAAAGACAAAGTTTGTTTAGGACAGGACATGTTTTATTTCTTCCATGCTTTTGTTTGCTGAGGCTCATCAAATCCCACACCTCCATCAGTCAAAGGAGCCTGGTGGAGGAGGGATAGTGGGGAATTGTCAGTGATAGTAGCACCATTCAGGGCAGACATTCTATGCCTCATGCGGCAGGTGCAGCAGCAGGAGGCTGCTCAGAGGTCTCCAGCCCCACAATGAGCCATGTGGAGAAGCTGCTCTTGTATTCCACTGCCCTGCTCTGACCCTCTTGCCCAATCATGAGGACACTCCAGTTGACATTTTCACTCCCCTGCCAAGGGCTGTAACACCATCATCGATCACATTTTAGTTTTACTGCAAAACTGTTTTATATTTTGATTATTTCTAAAACCTATCCATTATTTCCCTTCCTAATCAGATAGTGGATTTGACCATCATGTATAACCTTTTACTGATGACTCAGTTACCAAATACTGATGACCTCAGGATCACCGATTGTGTACCGTTTTGTTCATGATCAAAATGTCCTCAAATCTTTGTGTCTTTAAGTTCATGTATATATTTTCTATATATTTTATCTCCCTTTTCTCAAAACTAGGCTTTTGCCAGTTATTTCTAAGTGTAATCAGCCTGACTAGGACCCTCCCCAGTATGCAAAACAACACACAAGTACACCGCAATTCTCCTCTGATGTGTTGCTTCTTATCCCTTGTGGGCTTGGTAACAGAAGAAAAGGAAGAAAGAAGGAAAAAGATATCTATGTAAAATGAGTCTTAAATGCTCTGTTGAAAGGATTCAGGGTCTCCTCTATGAGTTGAGTGTATCTTTATCTTTATTACTGAATTTATGTAGATGTTTACAGTTTTGTAGCTGTGCTCCAAATAGCTACAAAAAATGGTAAAATTTGATGTGATTAAA
The DNA here is from genome assembly GCF_000001405.40 of Homo sapiens. Taxonomy (NCBI): domain Eukaryota; kingdom Metazoa; phylum Chordata; class Mammalia; order Primates; family Hominidae; genus Homo; species Homo sapiens. The sequence continues at coordinate 22,898,286 of NC_000002.12, forward strand.
ATTCAATTTACCCCTTAACTTTTATCCATATCTAACAAAGGTGCTGTGTGTTTTGTTTCACCAGCATATCACCCAATTCATCATCGAGGGGAGGATGATACTGAAGATATTATTGACTCATCACTCTTCTCTACACTTCATCTCTGATCAGTCACCAAGTCTTTATGACTCCACTCAAAATATTTCTCAAATTCATCTCCTCTTATGCTTCTATTTGCTACTGTTATTTGAATTCATTTGCAAGGGCTCCTGGCATGCTTAATTTTGTGTGTCAACTTGACTGGGCCATGGGGTGTCCAGGTCTTTGGTAAAATGTTATTCTGTGTATTCCTGTGAGGATATTTTTGGATGAAATTAACATTTGACTGTTAATTAAAATTAAATTAAAAATTAACATTTGACTGTAAATTAACATGTAGTCTGAGTCATACAGATTGCCCTCCCCAATGTAGGTGGGCCGCATCTGACAGAAAGGCTGACTCTGCCTGACTGCTGATCTAAGATATAATTTTTTTTCCTGCCTTTGGACTTGAACTGAAATACTGACTTTTCTTGGGTATCAAGCCGTCTAGCCTTTGGACTGGAACTACGCCATCAGCTCTCCTGGGCCATCGCCTTGCTGATTCCAGATCTTGTGATGTCTTATCCTCCACAACTGCATGAGCCAATTCCTATAACAAATCTCTCTATATATATATTTGTTTTTATAAATATATACATTTGGTTATACATATTATTATAAATATTGATATATTTATTTTTAATATAATAGTGTGTGTATACATATATTTATATATATATTTTATTATATATTATATTTTATATTATATATAATATATATTTAAATATATATAATATATATTATATATATTATATATTTAAATATATTATTTTATATATATATAAAAATAACCTATTGGTTCTGTTTCTTTGGTAAACACTGCCAAAACAGCTACCACAACACACAGGCCAGGTAGTTTAAACAACATAAATGCATTTTCTCGCAGTTCTGGAGGCTGGAATTCCAGGGCCAAGGTTTCAACAGGGCTGGTTTCTCCTTAAGCCTCTACCCTTAAGCTTGCAGATACCACCTTCCCACTGTGTCCTTATGTGGCCTTTTCTCTGTGCAGGTACATCCCTGGGGTGCCTCTTGTGTGCTAACTTCCTCGTCTTATAAAGACATGAGTTGGATTGAATTAGGGTCCACCCTAACAGGCTTATTTCAACTTTATTACCTTTTAAAAGCCCTATCTCCAAATACAGTCCTATTCTGCATTACTGGAGGTCAAAGCTTCAACATATAAATTGAGTGGGGGGGCTCAATTAAGTTTATAACACTATGACTATTTTTCTAGTGGATGGCTATTGTCTTCTACTTTTTGTCTTCCTCCATTATTGCCATCTTTCATAATGTATCTATGGTTGTTAAGTAATCCTTCTAAAATCCAAATCTGATGGGGCATTATCTCTTAATTTGATCTCATAGACTCTTAACGCTTCATTGCTTATAGGACATAGTTGAAAGTCTTTAGCCAGACATAACCAGGATCTTCTAGCTCCTGCCTCTAACTACCCTTTTCTAGCTTTATCTGTCATCATTCTTCCTCACTTGCCCAAAACTCTATTTGTAGCCATCCCGGACAACTCTTTGCAGAGAGTATTAATCTTTTTCTTCAACTCAGAGACTTTTTCAACGATATCCTTTGAAATTTGCAGCCTCCCTGAATACATATCTTCTAGTCATTGCTGCATAATTATCAGTGGGTCTGAATTTTCCTTTACAGGCAGAACGTAATTCTAGTATTCATTTTTGTCCAAGTAAAAAATTGTATTAATTAGTTAACTCATCAAAAATTTGTTGGGTACCTACTTTAGGTCCAGCCTTTTTCTAAACACTAAACTGCTCAGTCTATCTTGGGAAGTGGGAAATATACATGATATAGAGGAATAACAATATAATTCTTACTCTCTTGGCCTTCTCCCAAAGATAGCCTACAGTGATAACTCATCCACATCCATTGCTAAGGATTTGGTAGAATCAATAGTTTACAGCAAATTGAAACTGACTGTCTAACAGAGTAGCAACTTTTCTCCCAACATAACGCATACGACAAATAATTTAAAACATATTTAATTTAATTATGTTTTTAATGTTTTAATTATGTTTTAAATATGTTTTAATGTTTTAATTATGTTATTTAAAAAACGTTTTTTAAATAACATATTTAAAAAATATTTAAATATGTTATTTAAACATTTAAATAAATTTTAATGTTATTTACATGTTATTTAAATAACATATTTGTTATTTAAATAACATATTTATTATGTTATTTAAATAACATATTATGTGTTATTTAAATAACATATTGTGTTATTTAAATAACATATTGTGTTATTTAAAAACATATTATGTTATTTAAATAACATATTATGTTATTTAAATAACATATTATGTGTTATTTAAATAACATGTGTTAAATAACATATTTATTATGTGTTATTTAAATATGTTATTTAAAACATATTTAAAAATTATGTTTTAATATGTTTTAATTATGTTTTAAATATGTTTTAAATTATTTGTCGTATGCATCCTGACGTCCAAGATTTGCCACCTAGAATTTAGCCATATATGGGAATAACATGAGTATGACAGTCTAAGGACCCAGACCATCTATCTGTGCTGTGATTTCAAAAGCTTAGTGTAAATGGACTTATAGGACCAAAAAGTCACTATTGCCATAGTCTAAAATAAAATAATATGTATCCCAAGGAAGCCTAAGGAACTAAGACACTATGTGCATATGATTACATGGGGAGGTATGATGTGCTTAGGGGCTACCCATTAGCTGAAATTTACACATTGAAACTTCCAGTACAACTTCAATCCCTTAAATTAAATTAGGCAATTAAGTGCCATCAGTCAATTCCTCCTACCCTGTCAAAACAGTAAGCCACAATATCAGTATTGTTAATTATCTGAATAAGCTGCTTACATAGAGAAATAATATTATAACAAAAGGATCAACAATGCCTTCCTTGGATTTCCAATTCTAATTTTTTTTAAGATGTTAAGGTCAGGTGAGTAATATTTCACCAAGAGGAAACTGTTTTTTCCAAGTATTAACTAACTGACCAAGAGAGCAAGCACAGGGAAGGGGTCTTATGGGGAGAAAATCTGCAAGGAGATTTGAAGATGTGCTATTGGTTGTCTAAACATGGCCCTTATAAAGTTCAAGGGAGAACTGACGAAGTCATGAAAGAAAAAAAACTTGCTAATAACTCCCAAGCTGTCGGCACAGAGACCGTAACTACCATATACAGAGAACGTGTGCAGACATGATTTATTAATATCTGGATGAATGAATGACCAGACCACAAAGCTCTGGGTGTTCTACTATGTGAGGCAATTGTTGCCATAGCATTCTCGGGGTTATAACTCATGTAATGTTGCCCTGTTCTGGTGATGTTAACGGGGGCTGAAACAGGAATAACATCTCCAGAAAGTCCCCCATGGTCAGAATGACAGCAGTGTCTGTGAATTTTTCTAGTCCACAGCTCAGCTATGGGGCCATTGTATTGAATCTTCTGTTTTGAATGCCTCCAACCTTGAATTTGAAATGATGGATCTCCTTGGATTTTAAGTCCCCGACACTATTCCATTAATAAATATTCATTTTCCTTTTCTCTCTCCAGTAGCATTTTCTCATCAATCATGACTGAAGTCACAGCTGTGAAAGCCCTTTATCCATTACTGTTCATCTCTACATGATGCTGTGCATCCTTACAAAATTATAAAATTATTGAAGATTGGGTGTGAACCTTTTGTTTGGTGTAGTTTTTAATCGTCATTGAGTCTGTGTTTATTCCCAGAATGAAATCGCTTTGTATTTTTTTCTTCATCTTCTTCAAGTACATGTATAAATCACCCCCACTGGCTTCTACTTTCTTGTAAAAATAAAAACGATCCCCAAATGTTCAAGAATTACTCAGGGACTATTCAGTGTTCAATATGTCAAAGCAGCCAAGACAGACAGTCAGGAAGAAGATTAGAATCAATGAAGAAAAATCCATCCCGGGCACAAGTTGTCCTGCTGCCAGCACTGTCGGGGAAAGGTCTGCTCACTCGGCACTCTCATTACTGGGAGAAAAAGTCTTCAAGCATGAGAACAGGGATGAGCCTGCAATCGCTGCTGCCTGAGTTCTTAGGACAAATCCACAGTTTATTTTGTGAAAATAGATACTCCTATGGAGTGGCTGTCTGCTGAGCAGTTTTAAGATCCCCTTTATCTCTCACTTACCTCTAGACAGGGAGCAGGGTCAACTGGGCCAGAGCAGGGGGTTTAGCAACAACCTAAAAAGATGGGGTGCTGAGATCGCTAGTTATGCCCTGCTGATCCACCGACATCAGAGATCCTCTGCCGAGGGCAGGCTTTCAGCACAGTTCTCTCTCTCATCCCACCCTTCCCTCTAGCACTGGATATCCTCCAGTCTCCTTCTGCCCTATTCAAACCCACTCCACAAACAGGGAACTTTAAAAAGTTAACACCTGCCTGGGTTTCAAATCTAAAACCCGGCCCAGCTGTTGACAGTGTTGATAATCATTGACTATGGCTGCAAAAATGGGATCGATAAGCACATCACAAACCAATATTCCATGAGCACCTTCTATGGGCAATGGCCCTGTGCCAGGATGCACATTTGCAAAAGCAGCCTTTGGTTATGATGGCGTGACAGCAGAGGGGGAAGGCAGGAAAGAAGGGAGCCAAAGAAGTTGGGGCAGGCTTACTCTGAAGAAAGTGAACATGGAGCAAAAAGGCTTTATCTTCCCTTTCCATGGAAAATCCAAGAATATACAGGAAAAGATATCTTTTCCCAATGGATTGCTAAGCTCACACAATGGCAAAAGGAATCTTGGCCTTGGCACTACCAGCTTGTCTTTAAAAGTCCTTGTAAACTTTTGACACTGATACTTTCTGGTCTGGAAAGGAAATCAATTCAGTTCTCTTGGATGAAAGTCAGGAACAGGATGAAAGTCAGGAACTGTTTGAACCTCCACCCCCAATCAAAACCCTAAACTCTTTAGGGCTGAATGGAAAGAGGTCTGCATCGAGCAACCTCTCTCATTCACAGAATGGCAACTTGAGGCCCAGGGAAAATGACATTGGCCCAGAGTGATGCATCCCAGTGGTCATGTGTCCAGGGTTAGAAACCAGGTGTCTGGGTTTCCACTCCTAGCCTCTTCTCTCTCCCCACACATCTAAAGTGGGGGTGATACAGGCAGCATGTAGTTTCTTGCTGTGGAAAGCTAAATGTTGACCACAGCTTCCATCAGCCTGAACAACAGATCCGAGGATGGCTGCAGGACTGGACCAGGAGACCCAGGTTCTCACTTAAGTACAGGACTTTTAACAGAGACCTCCACAAATATGCCTTAGGAGGTGCCACCAATACCTGTTGTGGCTTTGAGTGTGTGACTCACAACTTCACTCTGGCTTCTTCATTTGTAAAGTAAAACACAGACACAACTGCTCTTAGAAGAATCCTGGAAGATCAAATTAATGATTAATTATGGGCACAGAGAATTCCATGAAGATGACTGTTATATTTGACATTATCATTTCCAACAAACCTGTTGTTATAATTATGTGTCCAACAAGTAAGACTAAATATTGAAAGATATCTTTTTAACTTAAAAGATAGTAAATGGAATCTGAATTAAACAATTTAATAGAGTAAAAGCTTATAAAGCATCCCCCAATCATGCTTGATATGCCCAAATCTTCAATAGCAGATGCCTGGTGTTACAGATTCCTGATGGGCTTCCAATTCTCCACATAATGGTCAATGAGTACAGGCTGCTGGCACCCTCCCCAGCCTACTGTGAAGAAACTAGAAGAGAAAAAGAAAGGTTGTTGATTTAAGACAGGTACGCAAAAACTAAACAAAATGTGTGTGAAGTTTCTGGGAAAATAGAGGTTTGGGGGTTGAGGTTAGACTGTGGCCTCCAGGGGGCGCAGGTAAGGGCTCTATTAAAAGACAGCTGGTCTGGCACTCTGAGTCCCTATACGGCCCCCGGAATATCACTTTCTGGCTTGCTTCAACACAGGGTAGGAATGCGGTTATTTACATCACCCCAACCTTTCTTCACACAAGAGTACCACAGAGGGGGATGCCCTGGAATAGGGAGAAATTAGGAAATTCTCTTGGAAAGAGCACAAGGAACAATCCAGCATAAATGTCGACACCAGAAGCTCTGTGTCCTCCCCAAATCACCAAGCACAACAACCTAGGACCTAAGGTTTGCTCCTCCATCAAGATGGCCAGCAAGGCAGCTGACAGTGCCTAGGGTATAAAAGATGAGTTCAAAGAGAAAAGTGAAGTAGCTAAAGAGAATATGCACTGTTTTCTTTTTTTTTTAAGACAACAAATAGAACAATCAATAGCAGAAGATAGAATATAAAGCAAAAGGAAGACAGTTAAGTCTTTAATTTTTTTATAATTTGTGTATATATGAGCTAATTCTTCCCAAATATTCACTAAATGCCCTATTCATTCTTTCACTAATTTGTGATACTGTCTCTGTCCTATACCAAGTTCAGATATATAGTTGGATTATAAAAATGGACTGTGAAAGGCAATAGTACTACATTTACAGAGGAAATGTAGTCGAATATGTATTTACCTCAGGTTAGAAAGGTATCTGCCTTATAATGGAAAAAGTTTTATTAAACAAAACTCAAAATACATAAACCATGAAGGAAAAGAAAGCAAACCAAAAAGATTTCTGTTCCTCAAATGTCACTCTGTGCAAAGGTCACAATAGGAGCAGCCTGAAAGAAGATATTGATAAGGAATTACTATTTAACTATATGAAGACTCTTTATATATCATTCAGAAAGATAATAAGACCAATACACATAGGTAAAGGATAAAGACAGGCAACTCAGAGGGAATCTGAAAGACTAATTATAGATGCTCAGTTAGTAGTCATCAGTAAGTATCACGTTGCAATTATCAGATAAGCAAAAATTAGAAAGTAGATAACACTAAATGTTGAAAATATAAATATGTATGCACTGCTGGCACCATTCTGGAAACAATCTGGCAGAACTCACTGAAATTAAACATACACATAGACAATGATCTGGAAATCATCCCACCCCTGAGTGGCTACCCCAGAGAAGCTCCCTTCTTCAGATCCACAAGGAGACATTTTACTAGAATGTCCAGGTTCACATTATTTGTGACAGCAGAAAGCTGGCAGCAAACTAGGTACCCATGACTAGAGAAAATATAACCAAAAATATAATGGAAGTCCACTATGAAATACTCTCCAAGAGTGAGAAATCACCAACTAGTTTTGCATAGAGTAACATGAGACTATGAAGTAAAAAAATAAAAGTGAGATTTTCAGCCAGGTGCGGTGGTTCACGCCTGTAATCCTAGCACTTTAGGAGGCTGAAGTGGGTGGATCACAATGTCAAGAGTTCATGACCAGCCTGGCCAACTTGGTGACACCCCGTTGCTACTAAAAATGCAAAAATTAGCCAGTCATGGTGGTGCGTACCTGTAATCCCAGCTACTTGGGAGGCTGAGGCAGGAGAATCACTGGAGTCCAGGAGGGGGAGGTTGCAGTGAGCCAAGATCATGCCACTGCACTCTAGCCTGGGTGACAGAGCGAGACTCCATGTCAAAAAACAAAACAAAACAAAAAGTGAGATTTTCATCAATTGCTATTTATATGAATTAAAATATACATAACCAGATATCCTAAGCTATACAGATAACTAAATATACACATAAGCTGATTTAGAAGGACGTACATTAAATACACTGTAGAGTGCTGATACAAGAAGAAAAAAAGGGAATGGAATTTGAAAAGGAAAATAATAAAATGAAATAGGCACCTGGTATAGTGATGATATTACACTATTTATGCATGCGTGCATTCACTCATTCATCTAGTAAGCATGTGTTGAATGCCTGCTTGTGCCTTGTTAGTATGCTAGGATCACAAAGGTGAGTGGACAGATGAGGTTCCTGCCCTCATGGAACTTCATCCTGGGGGACTGAGGAATAGAACTGAGGATTGTGAGTGAATCAGTTGGGCTCCTACGAATGCTAAGGGAAATTGAGATGATAAGCATGATAATAACAATGAGGACATTACATTTGAAGTGACAGATGTCCCAAATTTAATAATTTCCAAATCTCACCAGCATTTATACTTATGCTCACTAGCATGTACATATATTAAATGAAGTGAATGTAGGCAAACCAGGTTTTGGAGCTTGGTGAATTTTCTCTGGAGGCTATTTTAGATTGCCAAACCATAACAGAAATTGCCTGTGGAAAGACCTCAAGTTATCTGTTTTCCCAGCAGCATTTCCCATGCCTTGTTCTGTCTACCAGATACACACAGCACTCATACAGCAAAGGATATAGAAAGGAAACATAATACCAGCTGATTAGCTAAGGGTTCCTGGTGTTATCCCTCATTTGGTTTTTCCCCCTGGAGCCCAAACACAGCCCGAGTCTCCATTGCTGTGCTGGATTCTATCTCCTGTGAACAGATCTGCCTCTAATCCAGGGAGTCAAGGGCAAAAGATGGAGATGGATTCCTTCTAAAACAGAGAGTGCTGGTCAGTGCAAAGTGAGCACTTCACCCAACTCCTTGTCATCCAAGGTCCTCCCTTCAAAGCTACTCAGAAGAAATGAATTTTCATGAAATTTTCCCAAGAAATCTGCATTTACAAGACGAAGCAATGGCTTTGCAACCTCAGACAGTGGCGCAGGACTGTATGTGTGTTGTGCTTGCAGAGAATGGAGGTGGTAGGTTGGGGTGGGGATAAGGTGGGGTCAGAATATCCTGTGGAGACATCACCTAACCTTAAGTTTGAGAGTAAGATATCTCATCCTTAAGGATCCTTTTTTCAGATATTCAGTTTCCAAGAAAGGGGCTCATCTCCTTAGAACTTGCTATGTCTTCATCGCTTGCTATCTCTACCTTTGTTAGACTCTAAACATCCTGGTTCTCACTTTCATCTCATGTTCCTCCCTGCCTCCTCCTGACACATTTTTCTGCTTCTTCGGAATGGGAAACACAATCAAAATCACCCAAGACTATGAATAATGGCTGAGGCTGGAAGCAGGCAGAGATTTCCAGAAGAAAACATGTGCGCTTCTCAGGGTCAAGGCACAGCACTTAAAACTTCAGACACAGAGCTCTTAAAACATTGCAACACCCTTCAGTGTTGGCAAGGGTACAGGGAAGTGAGCATTGTCACAGGACTTGGCAAAGCATTTCAAGGGCTTTATGCATGTCCACAACCTCTGGCCAGTAATTGCTCTTATGGGAATCTATACATAGGAAATTATCAGAAATACAGGCAAAGATTGACATTTAGAAATACTTAATGCAGCATTTTGTGTGTGACCCACATGCCATCTGAGACTTTTCTGCCCTTTGAAAATTAAATAAAGTCATTCCAAGACCCTATCTCATATCCTCTGGAAATTCCATTGTCTTCCTCAAGATTTCTAATGATTCTTGGGGGCTTCACCTTTAAGTTCCTGTAATGAATGAACTCTAAATCTTCCCAACATCAACCTAAACTCACAGCTTTATACCAGCAAAGGTCAGGGAATATAGTCCCTCTACTTTCTCTCCAAAACAAACTCACGGAATTTGTATACGCTTCAGTTTTGATAAAAGAATCAGAAAAATGGAGAGAAGAACATCACAGGACCACTTTAAATTTTAAAATTAAAAGACACTTCTCAAAAAATTCCTTCAGTCACCTAGACTTCCAATAGTGCTAGCGCCTATAATGTTGCTCAACTTGTGACCCGTTTTTGTTTCAATCTCTTTACTTCCCCTTCTCTTACTTCTCTACTTGCCCTAACCCTAAATTTTGTCCAACACAATAAACAGAGCATTGTAACTATCTCTGTTTTACTGTCTGTAGGTACTCCATGCCCTCACAGCCACACCAAAGGGCCTATTGAGATATTCTCCTAAATATGGGCAGTTATGAAGGATTTCTTTTCTTCCTAATAAAGACATGCAAAGAGTAAGCTTTCCTTTTTGTTAGCTAATATCATCAGGCTTTCATGTGATGTCTGGAACTACAGCAGTCATTTTTTGACCATAGGGAGAAAACACAAAGGCCAAGAATGGAAAAGTAGAAAGGGCCTGGGGCCCTAATAACATTATTGACCCACAAAATTAATTCTAAAAGGAATTACCATAATTCTTTTTATGGCAAATAATAAATGTTCCTTACTTTTTAATCATTATTTAAAATATTTTTAGACAGAGAAAACTTTACTTGCCAGCTAATGGCATCTTTTTTTTTTTTTTTTGAGATGGAGTCTCACTCTGTCGCCCAGGCTGGAGTGCAGTGGCGTGATCTCAGCTCACTGCAACCTCCGCCTCCCAGGTTCGAGTGATTCTCCTGCCTCAACCTCCCAAGTAGCTGGGATCACAGGTGCACACCACCATGCCCAGCTACTTTTGTATTTTTAGTAGAGGCAGGGTTTCATCATGTTGACCAGGCTGGTCTCGAACTCCTGACCTCAGGTGGTCCACCTGCCCCAGCCTCCCAAAGAGCTGGATTGCAGGAGTGACATCTTAATAGATGTATGATACATCAAACTCTTTCAATATCTCTAAGCCTCATTTTCCCACCTTTACTATGGGCATAACAATAGTAATTCACTGCACTGAGTTCTTGGGGAGACATAATAATCTAATGCCTACATACAGTGAATATCCTATAGATATTATTACTGTTATTTATGCACTAATTTATTTCCTGAATAATGATTATGTGCCTATTTTTAGGCAGTGTAGTATTAGAGATTCCAAAATTTAAAAATTAGAGCTTTAATATGCTTAATAACTAATAGCCTTTAACAATATGGTCTTTCATGCCTTGTTATTTGACAAATTCCACAACAAAGCCTTTGCTCTGAATCCATCTTATTCACATGTCATTCACATAGTACGCTGTGCTCTTTATTGACTCTTTATTTTCTGTTCCTTCTGTCCTACTCTTTCCTCTCATTCTTCAAGACCTAGGGAATTCATCCCTCCCTGACTTACCTACCTGCACGGTATATTGGTCATTTGTTTTTCTCTGTGATCCATAAAATGTGCATATGCCTCCATCAGCCTGTTTCATGGATAGTGATGGGAATTTGATGATATAAAGGCGAGGGTCCAAAAAAGAAAAACTGAATTCTACTAATCAATGCTTCTCCCCGATGGGATTCTGTGAGAAATACTCTCAAAGAACTGTAGCCAAACAGGAAACAAGTCACCGCTATCAGCTTAAAGAGTGCATGCACCCAGCACTGAGCCCCATGAAAAGCTGGGTTAGAGAAATGGATTTAGTTCAAGCCCAAGATAGGGCCTCCTATTTCTTTCTTCCCACTGCTGTGAACTATAAACTTTGCCTCTTACCACCGTCACAGAGGACACATAAAGAAAGAAAGATCAAAGCAAAGAGAAAAGGAAATGGTCAGGCATCGAAGAAGGTGCAACCTTGGGTTGCCGATTCTATAAAATACTGCAGAACACAGAGAGAGTGACATAGCCAGCCCCTTCCTAAGGACCAGCTCCATGCAGGTATGTTAACTCAGGACAACAGGAAGTGCCAGAAGGCACAATCAGTGCCTTGAAGTCTGATTAATTATATTAGTAAGGTTTTCTTCCTTGGGACATTGCTGATGAAGGGAGAGGAGATTAAAACTTCCTTTCGCAAAAGCATGTGTATGACCAACTTTTAAATATTTATATATTTGCTAAGCTATATTAGTGGCAAGCTATATTACTGCTCAACAATATATACTGCTCTTCCCAAGATAATTCTGCCTGTGGCCATATGACTTTCTTTGGCCAATGAAGTATGAGCTTCTAACCAGATAACAACACTCCTGGTTAGAAACTTTGAGAGCCAGAACTTGCTTCCTCAAAGTACTATTTCACTGTGAAGGTAACCAGCCATGTTCCGGAAAGTGGTGGTTCTATCACACTGGGCTCTGAGAAGAGGTGGATGAAACAGTACAGCCCCCAGCCAACCATCAATAGGCAAGCAGTGTGTGAAAACTAAAGCTCGTGTTTTTTAAGTGACTGAGAAGTTTGAGGTGTTTGTTTCAGCAGCACAGTCTTGCTAATCCTGATGATCCCAGGAGTTCCTCTAGAAACATATCCATCACGGTGTCATCAGAGCCTGATTCATTATGGTATCAACAGATACCACGATGGTATCATCAGAGCCCAGCACGTATCCATGCTCAGTGCATCTGCTGAATAAACTAATGAATGTTTTAAATCAAAACTAGTATTTTCTTCACTTAGAGGCAACATATAGTAAAAGAAATTAGACTTTGGAGTCACAAATACTGATTTTAAATCCCATTTGCCACTTGCTAGCTATGAAACCTTAGGCAGTTCAACTTTCTGAGTCTCAGTTTCCTCATTTAAAGAAACATTTTGTTTGCAATACCTTTCTTAAAGAGGTTCTTGTGTTAAATGAGATAACATATATAAAGAAACCAGTGTGTTATCAGGACACTGTATATTGTATTTATTCTTAATAATACTATTTTAAAATTTTATTCAAGAAAAGTCCACACAAGTAATAACTGTGGAGGTAAAAAAATGAGTAATATATCACAGATATTTCTACAGTACAACAGTTCCGAATAATTGACTGGTTGTACAGAATTGAGGAAGAAGAGGGGAGAAGTAAAATAGAGGATAATTACTAGATTTACTAAAGAGATGGCACAGGTACTGGTCTTTGATTTAGACAGAGCAGGCAGAATAGATTGTATGTGACTTGGTTTGGCTGCTGGTCAGGGGCATGGGATTGAAATTTCAATTTTCAGTATCTGGGATTCCAGAGAGCCATGGATCACTCATGTAGAGTTGCTGAGTTGATAACTGAATGGACAGGTCTGAAACTTGGCAAAGATACACGTCTGAGAATATAAATGCTTGTTGATCAAATGAATGATTAAATGAACAGTGGAATGTGGGTCAAGAGAGCTAAGTTAACTCTTACGAGTTCTTCACAAGCATATTTCATATTTTATTTTTACATTTTTTGCATAACCATGCATTGTTTATGGGGAAAAGGATTACTTTGAGACAAATTTGTATATTCTATTGTGAGAAAATTTTTTAAAACTATTTTGAAATTTCAAATTTTGCTAAAAAGCAGAACATGTCTATTTAACCAAATAGACAGTCACTGAAGATAAACCATTTAGGAAGTATAAAAGAATTAGCCTTATTATGCAAAATGTTCAGAATGCTAATTGTTTAGCACTAATTTTTGTGTTTTATACATTTTAGTCAGAAGCATCTGAATTAGTACTAATTATTAACCACAGAGAAAGATGGTAGTTAGAAGATAGCGTGACTTTCTCAAAATTATTAATGCAACAACCTTTTTTTAAACATCAACGGTGAGAAAGTTGTCCATACTGCAAGATGATAAATTAAAATCAGACATGATTCTCACCTTAAGGAGGTCACAGCTTCAGATGGGGTAGCAATGTATAGCACGACAGGGCTACACAACGTATGGCACAACAGGGCTACACAACGTATGGCACGACAGGGCTACACAACGTATGGCACGACAGGGCTACACGGAAAGACCAGCTTACGGGGAGCAGGCAGTGGCAACTTCAGTTGAGGAGGTGGGTGGTTTCTTTTTTTGGAGATCGTGACTTTCAAGCTTCTTAAAAGTTAAGCATTATTTGTATATGTACATAAAGTGGTTTCAGGAGGGAACTATAAAGGGAGGAATTACAGGGGAAAAGATATAGAAGTGAGAAAGGTTTTGGTACTATGTAAAAAGGGAAAAACCTCAATTTGATTATAGCTGAGTGTTAATAAAGTAGTGAGCATTAGGAGAAAAAAATGTAGATTGGGCCTAGGTTCTGAGGGATTTTTGAGTATCAGGCTAAGGAATGTGGTCTTTATTCTGTAGTAGATAATAGAACTCCATTGAAAGAACTTGAGCAGAAGAGAGATTGACTCTTACAGGGAGTTTCAAAAGAATGACATATGGGGGCTTTCCTGGGGATAGGTTTTCTCATCATAAAGTCAGGGAAATAATATTTACTGCATGAGGATGGTTTTAAATGAGATAACCTATATAATTCCTTTGCTGGTAATAGATTCCCTTTCCATCCTCTTTCCTGAAAGTGACCTGATAATATCCACCTGCTCCTCATTAAGACCCCAGGGGCAGCAACTGCAACAACACGGAGATATTAACAAAGGCAGGTGCTGTAAAGGCAGCTGGAGCGCCAGAAGCAGGGATTTAGCAGATAAAGTAAAGGCAAGCAATAAAAAGAGGAAGGGGGGAAGAAATGTTTGCCAAGGGCTGTTGAAAAGAAATAAATTGGAAACCTGTTATGCATGTATCTGGGACACTGCTGTTAACTCAGGAAGGGAGGAACGGCTTACAAAGGGAGCTCCAGTGGCTCCTAGAGCACCCAGGAAGCTGGACCCTTGGGTTGTGTGTGCGTATGTGAGGGGACACTGCCACACATCCCAGCTGTATTGGCTGGCAGAAGGAAGCTGAAGCTCATCACCACGATTGTTTCATTTAAAAAAATTGTTCTCATCAAGTCGCAATTGTGACACCATAGCAGTATCTACAGGCAAATTGACACGTGTAAATTTCCTACAGGAAAATCTGCTGAGATGGGAGCAAGAGCCCTAAGGGCACCATTAAGGACAAAACATAAAGTGTGGAAACAGCTGAAGTTGAGCCTCAACTGTTGCACAGATTAAGTCCTTTAACATATGCAGAAAGCCCTATCGAGGTAACCTCACAGTCTGGTCCAAATACCAATCTGGTAGTTAGTTGGCCTGGCCTCTGAAGTATCATTGTCATCAGTACTCAGGGAACAATGTGCTCACTGTTCAAGAAAGGGGCAGGAAGAACAATGCTTAATACTTGCTCTCCTAAGAGGCCAGAGTCTAGACATGGAGAGACAATATACCTTCTTGGAATTATGAAGCCCTCAAGGCCTCCATGAAATGTGTAGACAGATACTGAGGTGTAGAGCCCCCTCAGATGGGTTGTATATAATCGAGCTGCTATAATCAGGGTGTTTGCTGAAAGAGGGGGCACACAAGTTAAAGCTTGAAGAATGGGTAATGGAAACAAATAGGGTTGATAATACAAGGTAAACAATAACAAGGGTGTGTCATTAGTAATAGCAAAGTTAACTCAAAGACACAATGACTCCACTCTTTCTGCTTAGTGCTTACTTAGGTATACAGGTTTTACAGGCATATGACTGTAAAACATCTATGAAAATGTTTTATTTCACCATATACAAAAATCACATTAAAATGGATGAAAGACTTTGAGAACTCAAACTATGAAACTACTACAAGAAAATAAGGGAAGAAATCACTAGGACACTAGTCTGGGTACACATTTCATGAGTAATACCCCACAAGCTCAAGCAACCAAAGTAAACAGGGACAAATGGGATCACATCAAGTTAAGAAGCTTCTGCACAGCAAAGGAAGTAATCAACAAAGTCAAGAGACAACCCACAGAATGGAAGAAAATATTTGGAATATTTCCTTCTCACAAGGGATTAATAACCAGAATATATAAGGACCTCAAACAACTCTATAGAAGAAAAATCTAGTAATCTGATTTTTTTGAATGGTCAAAATATTTGAATAGACATTTCTTAAAAGACATACAAATCGCAAACAGGTGTATGAAAAGGTGCTCAACATCACTGATCATCAGAGAAATGCAAATCGAACTACAATGAGGTACTATTTCACCCCAGTTAAAATGGCTTATATCCAAAAGACAGTCAATAACAAATGCTAGCAAGGAAATGGAGAAAAGAGAACCCATGTACAGGAATATAAATTAGTACAGTCGCTATGGAGAAATGTTTGGATGTTCCCAAAAACAACCTAAAAATAGAGCTACCATATGACCCAGCAATCCCACTGCTGGATATATACCCAAAAGAAGGGAAATCAGTCATCAAAGAGATACTCCATGTTTGTTGCAGCACTGTTCACAATAGCCAAAATTTGGAAGCAACCTAGATCTCCATCAACAGATGAATGGATAAAGAAAATTTAGTGCTTATATAAAATGGAGTAATATACAGCTATTAAAAAAGAATGAGATCCTGTCATTTGCAACAAGATGGATGGAACTGGAGGTCATTCTATTAAGTAAGCCAGGAACAGAAAGATAAATATCACATGTTCTTACTTATTTGTGGGACCTAAAAACCAAAACAATTGAACTTGTGGAGATAAATCGAGAGTAGAAGGATGGCTACCAGTGTCTGGGAAGGGTGGGGAAGTAGGAAAGGAGGTGAGAATGATAATAGGTACCAAAAATATAGAAAGAATGAATAGAGTCTAGTATTTGATAGCGTAAAAGGGTGACTATAGTCAATAACGTAATTGTACATTTTAAAATAACTAAAAAGTATAATTGGATTGTAAAACGAAGGGTAAGTGCTTGAGGGGATAATCATACCCCATTCTGCATGATGTGCTTATTTCACATTTGCATGCCTATATCAAAACATCTTGTGTAACCCATAAATATATGCATATACTATGTAGCCACAAAAATAAAAAATATAAGAAAATGTTTTTAAAAATTATGAATCACTTCTCCTCCTCCTAACCTATCTCCTCAAGGGCCTCTATGAAAAGCCCTTCCACAGGACCCTGACAGGCAAGTCTTCTGTCTGGCTCTGAGATGGTTTTAGAGCTTAGGTTATCTTCTAAGCAGCCACAAATCATCCCAGCTCCAGACCAGAGAACCTGGGCAAAGAATTGCTTGTTTTTCTCTTCTAAAGGGAGAACGTAAACTCTATAGGTTAAGAATGTTATTGAATGAATGAATGACGAATTAATGAATAGGATAAACTTTTCAAAAGAACCTAAGCTGGAGGCCTCATACATACCCTAGCAAGCAGAGTTGGCAACTGTGCACACACATCATTATCTGTTGAATGACTGAACGAAATAGTGTAAAAAGTAAAGACTAAATAAATAAATAAAAGAATATCCTACTTTAAACGATATCACAGTATTCACCCCTGAGAAAACCATCTTTCTGAAGGCATGCCCTGGGTAAGCTTTGTGATGTGTTCACTGTAGCACTCACCTCGGTAACACAGTTGAAGTTTCCAGTTCCCCTCTCAAAGTCCTATGGGGCACCTAACCCTTTTCATAACCCCACCCCAAATACACGAGCACACATGACCCACCCACCTTGCTCAATGTCATAGTTGTATGTGACCATGAAACCTAATGAATTACCTTGCAAGTTTTTAGGGACATCAAAATCAGTCCATTTTATAGATAAGAAAAATGATACTGGTCTAGACTGAGCTGGAATTGCAACAATTTCAGGACTCTGTGATTTGGACTGTGTGCCCTTCATGGATTAGGACACTGGTGCCAGGAGAGGGCTCAAGAGTAGTGTTATCATCACTCCTATCTCTTTTGGCTTAATGCATTTGTGATCTCCTTTTCCAGACATACCTAATGGACTTCACTTTACCCTACTAGTAAGTCATCAAGTCCCCTGTGGCAATACCTAGAATCAAGGTATCATAGCCTCCAGCCCATGCTTGTCCCATGCACACCACACCTGACAACTTCAGCAATGTGTTTTCCCTTCTGGTTGGAAAAAAGTCTCTTTGGGGTTGTGAACATCTGCAAAATTTTCTATATAAACCTTCATGTTCTAAGAGCACACAAGTGCTTCCCAAAGGGCACAATCTATAGACAGAGGCTCCTAACAGAGCTTCAACTCTGAAACTCAGGGTGGGTAGAGCCTATTTGCTCATTACCAAAATGTTGCTGGCTACTCTTCCTTCTGCAGAGTGGTACTGCCCACATCCCCAGGGAGTGGCCTTCGACTCAAGCAGAGGCCCACCAGCATGATTTAGACAAGCTTAAGTTTTGTGTGGCATTTCATTTAGTGAAGCACCATAGAGTTCTAGCTTGCTTTGGCTCCCTTGTGACAGGCAGTTATCCTCCCAATAATGAAAATGTTGAAGGATGGCACTGCCTTTAGCATCCCTAAGTTCCTGGTTTGCATGAGAGTTTTTGTTTAGTTCATTAATCTCAAGCCTTGGTCTTTGTCTTCTGAATATAAGCAGACCCTTTACCTGTGGAGACTTGTATCCCATCTGAGAAATAAGAGCAGCTACAAGCTAGAAAGCAGCACAAGAATGAGCTCACCCCAGCAGACAAAGATGGGGTCCATTAGATATTCATCTCAGCCTTGCACACAGGCAGAGCAGTAGGCAAGCAAAGTGCCAACTATTAATACTATTGAAGTCAATGATGAGACATGGTGGCCATGACCAGGAGATGACTCTGGCAAGGCAGAGGGTAGCAGGAGGGCTGGGAGGTGAGCTGGCTGCCTGGAGTGCAACGGCATAATTTCCTCTACCTTCTTGCCGTCAATCACAGCTCTTTATATAGCACCAATGTCATGCTGCATCAGCTGCACCTGTGCCCCGTGTGATGACTTTCAGACTCAGATAAATACCATCAACGGACTTCAGGATGATGGGCACAATGGAACACCCTAGTGATTGATCTGTTTGTTTCCATCCTGGGGCTGTGGGTCTATTAAATAAACACTAGTATTTTGAAGGAAAAGCAGGAGAAAGAACTCTTAGGTGGATTCTTTATTTCTTGTTTGGTTTGGAAGATGGTGGTGGTTGTTTGCGCTTTGGTTTTTTGTTGTTGTTTTAAATAGATGAGAGTGAATTTTTCTTTTCGAACACATAGCCCTGGACACAAGCAGCAGGACTTTATTTATCAGCTCCAACTCCTCACTGAATATCCTCCACAGCTGACAAGAGTCAATGATTAGCTGATTTCTCTGCTCTATTGCAAAGTTCTGCTGTGTTGCCAGACTCCCATGAGAGGTAGAGGGGCCATGTGATGTTCCCCAGAGGCTGCACCTCCTGAATGCTCCCAAAGACATCCTCTCACATCAAACTGGTGGATAGAGTCTGCAGATCATATCCGTTCCCTCATTTTACACAAAGCTAGCTAAGTTTTGAGAACAATGTTATACTTAGCTGCTGTACAAGCCATTGCCTTTTGGATTAATTTTAAGGGGAAATTATTTAAAAGGAAAATATTTATAATTCAAATTATTAAGAAATTCTAGGTCATAAAGAGCTACCATCTTTCAAACTTGGATATTGGTTTTATTTTCCAGTTTTTAAAATCCAGGGGGAAAAAAGCATTCACAATTTGAGTGTCTCTTTTCTTATCTGCTCACCCAAAAGAGTTCCTCAGTTAATATGTGACCATTTCTTTACCTATAGAATTCAGATAATATCTCTGAGAATTCATGATAAGAGTGTTTTAAAACTACATTAAGAAGCACTTCCTTCCTTAGACCCTCCAGAGAACACTGTACCTTGGACAGTCATTATATCAACACTGAGTAGATGGGACCTTGGAACACCACACGTCAACTCTGCATCCAGATCAGGCCCTGAATTGAGTGATACTGGAAATGGTGTGAAAAGAACCTGCATGTCCATGTAGCAAATAGTAGATTCTAAGAGATAAACTGGTAACTTCCAGCCTGTGCTCATCAGTTCTCCTGGAATCAGCCTAGGATTAAAGAATAAGAAGTTGGAACATAAAAGACAGTTTGTGCATTGTGAGAAAACTACCACCAATTTTCTCATTTTGAGTGAGAAAGCTGTGAAGAAGGGCAACTGACAACATGATGTCCTTTTACAAACTACTTCTCTGCAGTTGCGCTACTCCATGTGGTCTATGTACGACAGCCAGTGTGCTAACAATTTGCCACTGATTTATAGCAAGATAAATGCAGAAGTGAGAAGTAAACACATAGATACTTGTTTAGCAATTTGCCATTGTTATGGCTAAGAAAGTAATCTGTGGATTTATCTTTTTGAATAGGGTATAGACCAGTCTGAGTATTGTCAGATTTAGGTGGTAAATTGCATTGGCTCAAACTCTGTTCTAATCATGTGTGATAGGATGTATTCATCTGTGACAGACTGGAAATCAAAAATGATAGCTAGATGATAGATAGATAGATAGATAGATAGATAGAGATTAGGCCGGGTGTGGTGGCTCACACCTGTAATCCCAGCACTTTGGGAGGCCGAGGCAGGCGGATCACAAGGTCAGGAGATCGAGACCATCCTGGCTAACACGGTGAAACCCCATCTCTACTAAAAATACAAAAAAATTAGCCAGGCATGGTGGCGAGCGCCTGTGGTCCCAGCTACTTGGGAGGCTGAGGCAGGAGAATGGCGTGAACCCGGGAGGCGGAGCTTGCAGTGAGCCAAGATCATGCCACTGCACTCCAGCCTGGGCAACAGAGCAAGACTCCGTCTTAAAAAAAAAAAGAAAAGAAAAGAAAGAAAGATTAAAAAACAGGTCTTTTGCTACAGATGGTTTGAGAAGCACAGTCTTTTCATATTTACCAAACTTATAAATTACTTCTTCATTGTCCTTCCTACTAGAGTGAATGTAAGTTTCATGATAGGAATGATGTCTGCCTTCTTCAAAGCTCTATCACCAAAACCTAGTACAATTCCTAGCTTTTTGAATGAATGAATGAATGAATGAATGAATGAATGAAAAAAGTTTAGAATTCTGCTTCCCTCTCAGGTTTGGCAGCCATTAAATATCAGGAGAAGGAGATCACAGTATTAGGTACATTTGTCAAATCAAGGCAAGGATCACGCACAAGCTCTCATCTCCCCTCTCAATGCCACCCAGTCTTCAATGTCAAAGCAAGAATATAGAAGACTCAGGAACACATCTCCAAATGTATAAGGTGCAATTCTGGAGAAATATGATTCCCACTACAGAATTCATTTTATCACCGCTTTTTCAGAATCACAGCTACTCCTAAAGCAGAGTATAACTGATATTTTTTATTAGACTTATTGTTTGGAAGTTATCAATATTCCATAAATATGGCATGGTTCCTTATAAACTTCAGAGATTAAATAAAGCTAAAGTTTCAGGGTTGCTGACATTACCAAAAACCACAAAAATCATAACTTTGTTCCCTTAGAGGACACGGGTGAGACAGACCACACTCATCTTATCATAATATTTTGATTTAAAATATATTTTCTTGATAAGCAGTAGAAAGAGAAAGCATTAGGCTAGAATCTGCAGTGGCTCCCATCCAAGGGTGATACAGTCCCATAAGAAGCAGACAGGGACTCCACTAACCTATTGCTGCAATCCCCCCAAGTTAAAATGGCATAAAACAACCACTGTATTATGCTCACAGATTTTGTGGGCCTAGAATTCAAACAAGGCACATTGGGAATAGATTTTTCTCTGCTCCACATTATCTGGGATCTCAATTAGGAAGATTCAAATAGCTGTTAATTACTCAGATAAATGAAGAATGGCTGGAATCATCTGGAGACTCTGTCACTCACGAATTTGGTAGACCAACATAACTCAAAGATGGAACTTAGATGAGGTCAGGGCCAATGTATTTATGACCTCCGTCTATTGATGGGGCTTCCTCACAACATGGCAGCCTCAGGGTAGCTGACATTTAACATGGTGTCTCAGGCCTCCAAGATTAGGGCTCTGGCAAAGAAGGAAGAAGCTATGTGACCTTTTATGAGCAAACCTTAGAAGTTACATAGTATCACTTTCACTGCACTACGTTGGCCAAAGCAGGCACACGTGCACCTAGATTTAACGACATAGGACCCACCTGTTGATGGAAGAGTGCCAAAGAATGCATAGTCATTTTTAAAAGCCTCTCTGTTGCAGAAAACATCTAGGAATTTAGTAAACAGCAGCCAGGAATGCTAAAGATCCTACAAAGACTGTGATAATTTCATGCCTCAAAGAACCATTCTCACTAGGATGCCAGGAGTGTCACTGTTCACAAACACTAGAACCTTAAAGTTGGAGACCTACTAATGTCCTGTATCTATAAGGAACTTAAACAAATTTATAAGAAAAAAACAACTCCGTTAAAAATTGGGCAAAGGACATGAACAGACACTTTTCAAAGGAAGACATACATGCAGCCAACAAGCATGTGAAAAAAGGTCAACATCACTGGTCATTAGAGAAATGCAAATCAAAACCACAATGAGCTAACATCTCACATTAGTCAGAATGGCTATTATTAAACAGTCAAAAAATATAATAACAGATGCTGGTGAGGCTTCAGAGAGAAGGGGATGCTTATACACTGTTGGTGGGAGTGCAAATTAGCTCAAACATTGTGGAAAGCAGTGTAGAAATTCCTCAAAGAGCTAAAATCTTAACTACCATTCGACCCAGCAATCCCATTACTGGGTATACACCCAAAGGAATATAAATCATTCTACCATAAAGATGCATGCATGTGTATGTTCATTGCAGCACTATTCACAATAGCAAAGACATGGAATCAACCTAAATGCCCATCAAAAGTAGACTGGATAAAGAAAATGGTGTATGTATACACTATGGAATGTGTCACAGCCATAAAAAGAATGAGATTATGTCCTTTGCAGGAACATGGAGGGAGCTGGAGGCCATTATCCTTAGCAAACTAATGCAGGAACAGAAAACCAAGTACCACATATTCTGACTTATAAGTGGGAGCTACATGAAGAGTACATATGGACACAAAGAGTGGGACAACAGACACCGGGACCTAGTTGAGGGTGGAGGATGGGGAGAGGGGGATGATCAGAAAAAGTAACTATTGGGTACTAGGCTTAGTACCCGGGTGATGAAATAATCTGTTAAAAAAAAAAAAAAAAAACCTGTGACACAAGTTTACCTATATAAGAAACCTGCACATGTAGCCCTGAACCTAAAATTAAAGCTTAAATAAATAAATAAAAAGTTGGAGACCTGGAAGAATGATAGGAGCCATTTCACCCAAGAACACCACCCCTCCACCTATTCATTTTACAAAAGAGGAAGTCAAGCTGAAAGATCTGTCTGAGGTTGTTGGGCTAAACTGGACTCCAGGCCTCTTTCTTCCAAGTTTGATAGATCTAAGCTCCTTTTGAGATGATACACCTTTTCCAAGAAAATCCATTTTAAAACTCCTAGTGCATAAAATCACCAATGGATTTTAATTAAAACTCATGAAAGTGTGATGAGTAACAGAATATTTACAAGATCTCAAAGTATCTGCCCACACATTATTTACTAATTAAACAGAATAAAAGAGTAACTTTTCAATGGAAAAATCTGGTGGCTGCAACCTTTACCTAGTGATCAAAATGATAAACAGGCATTGCTTGGCTCCTGAGAGGAGGCACTGAGAAGGCACAACATCACTGCTACGACATTCTTAGCCAAAATGCACAACACGAGTCTAATCCTGACTGAGGAACATTCTACAAATATTTGGTTGTGCTTTTCAAAAACTTCAAGAATGTGAAACACAGTCTACTTATTTTCAAGCGATTCAGAAAAAAACTGCTATACAAATAGACACATACACAAAGAAAATGTAGTACATATGCACTATGGAATGTGTCACAGCCATAAAAAGAATGAGATTATGTCCTTTGCAGGAACATGGATGGAGCTGTGGGCCATTATCCTTAGCAAACTAATGCAGGAACAGAAAACCAAATACCGCATGATAAAAGAGAAGGGTAAATTAAATTAGACAAAATATACAGTTGGTAAATCTGGAAAAGGGGTTTGCACAAGCCATGGTACTATTCTTGCAACTTTTCTGTACATTTTCTATCAATTCGAAATTATATAAAAATAAAAAGTATTCAACCAGCAGCAACAACAAAGCATTTTATGTGTAAATTTCTGGGATAGCATTCTCCCAGCTACTGCAATGAATTCCATTTCTTAACTCTCCAAGGAGTAATCGTTTAGACAAACCACAGTGTCCTGAGCTGTGCTCTCACCAGTCTCTGCCTGGTGTTCAGGAAGCAAATCTAAGCTGTTTGGGGAGATGTCAACCAGAATATTTCAGGATGCAAATAAGCTTACATATAGATTTTTTAGAGCATGTCTTAGTTAGGTTACAGGTTTAGTTTGTATAACAGAGATCCAAAATCCAGAGGCTTAAGTAAGAGAAATGTGTCTTTCCCTCTCACCGAACAGTCAGGAAGGTTGGGAGGTCTGCCATCCTTAACCTGTGGCTTCCATCTCTGGATCCAAAGGAATAGCTTCAATTGCCATTTCCTAGCCAGAGAGGAGAGGGAAAGAAAGAGTGAAATGCACAGAGCTTCATGATGAAAACTCTACCTGGAAGTTTGCATACATCAATTTCATTATTACTTTATTGGCTAAAAATTTAATTACATGCCACAGCTAGACAGTAGGAGGCCAAGCAATCAGCCTCTATCTGGGTGGACGTGAGCCATGTTCCCAGTTTAAAGTCAGGGTGAGGGTCATGTTCTATTAGCAAAAGGAAGAGAGTGAAAAGGATAATGGTGTATAATCAGTCTCTGCCCAGGGAATAGAGATTGAGGGACTTTTAGCAAAACACCACAGCTATGTTCCTAACATGGGTGTGGATCTTCATAGGAGGTAAAAAAAAACTCATGGAAGAAACTGGGCTCCCAAAGTAGACACTGTCTTGTTTGTTGTCCTTTTGGGTAAACTAAGTAACTGTAAGATTTCCAGAGAGATAAGGTCCTTTATTCTGGAGACAAAGACCAATCAAAATTTTCTGTGCAGAAAGGATTGTCACAGTCAAATTATTTTCATTCTGTTGACAAAATAAAATGTCTCTAGGCAAACAGAGGTGTTGTCACCCAGCACATGTTCACATCCACATGCACATGCAAACAAACACATACACACACAGACACAGCACATGACAACATCCACAACTAACAGTGCACCAGGTTGCTCCAGGAGCCCAGAGTCCTCTCTTAGCTCTTCTCTTTATTGATTTAGAATGCCAGGATTACTTCTACTTCTATCATCGAGTCTCACTTTACATAGTTACTAAGTGATTTCTGCACAATAACAGGCAAATTATTCAAATATTGTGTTTTAAGGGATTGTGTCTTGACTCATCAAATTTATGAGTGGCAAATTGCTTTATGCACATCTGAAAAAAATAACTTATCACAGAACAGACAAGCTAACACATCTGGATTCTAGTTGATTAAAGCTTTATTTCACTTTTGAGGGTTTTCCTTCAAAATAACATTCTCAAGTGTGCCTTTCTCTTCCCTTTTGTGTTCTCACATCTCTGTAGGATGCAGACCTCTGCACGGGCAGGCTGCAATGCGCTCTGCTTTTTCTCTCTAATTTCACTGTATCCCTGTGGAGGCTGAGAGGAAGCTACATAGAGTTTGAGAAGGGACTGTCTATTTTATTAGAATACCCAGTTTGCCATTTTAATCCCAGTCATGAAGACATGTGGACCACCGCATGTTAGCCATGTATCCTCATCACAGAGGCAGAGGAAAACACAGGGACACTCACACACTAGGAAGCCACGGACCCTCAAGCCTCCAAAGTGCCACAAAGAGGCCTTAAAAGTCACATTTCACCAAGGTCCACCATGCACCCTCCTCTTGGCCCTTCCAGTGCTCCAGATCTGAAGGAACTGACTCCCAGCCGCCTGCCAGTTCTACATCCAAATGCCCACCTAAGATTTATTTGGCTCCCTAAATTCCAGCCTGTTCAGCCAGCCCTTCTACACTGGCCGTCACAGCCCCAAAGCAAGGACCTCTAGAGAGCCTGCCTACCCTGGCCAATGCCACAGAATTCTCAATGTCAAGAGCATCCCTAAAGCTCATTGCTTTCTCGGCTATCTCCACTGCTTTATGACACCTGCCCACTCGCTTTTCAATGCCCATCTCCAACCAGAGATTGTTCATGGGGGCAATATCCACATCTAGCAGAGGACAGCACCAAAGGAAGGGGTGGCATAGCATAGTGGTTACAGGTGTGATGCTGTGGTATGATTACCTGTGTTTGCATCCTGGCTCTGCCACTTCTTGTGTGATATGGGCATGGGACAACCTTCCTGTGTCCGTTTTCTTACCATTAAAATCTGGCTGATAATAGTATCTTCTTCACAGGATAGTGTAAAATTAAATTAGCTAATACATGTAAATCACTTAGAAGTGTACCAGACATAATTAAGGTTCACTAAACATTAGCTATCATTATTATTTTATTATTATTACTATTATTATAGAATCTGACACTTAGAAGATCATTAATGACCTTATCCAAAGCAATTTTAATAAATTACAAGGGTATATAAGCCATTATGATGTGGACAGATGAATGAATGGAGGATGAGAAAGTAGAAACATGGAATTTGGGCAAGAGGAAGAAAACAGCTAGATAATAACTATAGAAGGTCACAGAGTCTAAAGGAATCAATTCCTTCTTTTGCTGTAAAATACCTAAACAGAAACATTATTCTAAAGCTTTGGTAATTCTGATGAACTGGTATGAATGTAAGTGAATATATTAGCAGCAATGAAAATATTAATCATAACTTACTTAAGCAAACTACTTCAAAGTTTACAAAGTAGCTTTATTTCACTTTATTCTTAAGTCTGAGGATACAGGCAGGACCATTGATCCGACTTTACAAATGAGGAAATCAAGTCTCAAGGTGGATGCCTTGTCCCAAGCCACACATCCAACCAGAGTAAACTTCTCTCTGACCTCTAAATTCTTTTTTTCCTTTTTTTGAGATGGAGTCTTGCTCTGTTGCCCAGGCTGGAGTGCAGTGGTGTCATCTCAGCTCACTACAACCTCTGCCTCCCGGGTTCAAACAATTCTTCTGCCTCAACCTCCCAAGTAGCTGGGATTACAGGCACCCGCCACCACGCCTGGCTAATTTTTTTTTTTTTTTTTTTTTTTTGTATTTTTAGTAGAGACATGGTTTCACCATGTTGGCCAGGCTAGTCTCAAACTCCTAATCTCAGGTGATCCGCCCACCTCAGCCTCCCAAAGTGCTGGGATTACAGGCATGAGCCACCGCACTACCCAGCCTCATCTCTAAATTCTTGATATCTCAAAAATGCTTACATATGTCACCTTATACTCACAAACCTCAAAGACTTTCTGGTGTTAGTGACTACCATCTATTTTCTTGGTTTGGAATTAAAGAGCTGCCACAAATTGCCTTCTTGCCTAGGCTTCTCACTCAGGACATGTCCCATAACACAATCTTCCTCAATATTCTTCCTGAGCCACTTGGAGTCCCTGAGCAGATGTATTTGCTCACACTCTTAACCCCACCCACAATCCCCACCATCTTCCACTTCTCTTTATCTCATCTCTTTTCCACTGGGCCACCCTGACACCTGAGCAGAGGGTGAAGCCTCTTTTGCACTTCAAAACACTGACCAGCTGGCATTCATTCAGGACTTAATCGCCCCTGCTCCATAACTCATTCTTCTGGGCAGGTATCTCATCTCTACTGGATTCTACATTGGGAAAAGTCTCACCTCCTAAGAGCCCTCTACCTTCTTATAACACTAACCTTGCACCTGCTGCTGGATGTTTTGCTCTCTCCTCTGCTTCTATAGATGGTTTGTGATTTAAAGGTGGATATTCTCTTTGACATTTCTCTGCATTGCAATGCCCCACAGTCTTGCTGTCCAAATGGAAGAGGCTCTGTGCTGAGAGACCACAATGACCAAGATCAGGTTCACAGCACCTGTTGCTTGCAAGATCACTCTGGGTGCCAGGCAAAACAAGGGCATGGCAAGCCGGCTCCCCAGAGAGGCCCTCCCTTCTCCAAAGAAGGGCCCTCCCCCCTTGCTTCTTTATCACCTTGGC
This sequence comes from Homo sapiens, assembly GCF_000001405.40. Taxonomy (NCBI): domain Eukaryota; kingdom Metazoa; phylum Chordata; class Mammalia; order Primates; family Hominidae; genus Homo; species Homo sapiens. Next base: position 22,926,124 of record NC_000002.12, read on the forward strand.
TTATTTTTTATTGTTTTGGGTTTTTTTTTGGGGGGGGGGGGTTGTTTTATGTTTGTTTGTTGAGATGGAGTTTCACCCTGTCACTCAGGCTGGAGTGCAATGGCGCGATCTCAGCTCACTGCAACCTCACTGCAACAATTCTCCTGCCTCAACCTCCTAAGTAGATGGGATTACAGGCATGCACCACCACACCTGGCTAATTTTTGTATTTTTAGTGGAGACAGGTTTCACCATGTTGGCCAGGCTGATCTGGAACTCCTGACTTTGTGATCTGCCCACCTCAGCCTCCCAAAGTGTTGGGATTATAGGCGTGAGCCACCGCACCCAACCCACCTTGGCTTATTAAGCCGTGTACATTGTGGAGCACTTCATGCTTCTTGCTCTTTCTCTATCCATGACAGAACTGCTGTTTAAAAACTCTCCTTGGATATTTAAAGCATTGTAAATGTTTGGTTGTAAAGAGGTTTGGCCCTTTACTTTACATTCCTGTAAGTCACAAGCAGCAGCTCTGACACTGCATTTAAATGTAACAGGGAGTAAGAAAGGATTATAAAATTGGATACTAGGTTAAATAAATCTTCTAAATGTAATTTCCTTTATTAGGAAGAGGGAGGAAGTCAAGGAAGCAAGAAGGCTACTTTCCTTTTGCTGCTATAACAAATTACCACAAACAGTGACTTTAAAAACACGCATTATCTTACAGTTCTGGAGGCCAGAAGTCTGCGGCAATGTCTCACTGGGCTAAAATCAAGGTCAGGGTAGGGCTGCCTTCCTTTATGGAGGCTTCAGAGGAGAATGCTTTCTAGCCTTGCCATCTTCTAGAGGATGCCCACTCTTCTTAGATGGTGGTCTCCTTCGATTTCCATAGCCAGCAGTGGAGGGCTAAGTCCTTTTGACACCAAATGTCTTGGAGCTTCCCTGTAGTTACATTTTTCTCTGCCTCCCTCTCCTACTTTTAAGGACCCTCTGATTGCTCTGAGCCCACAGGGATAATCCAGGTTGATTTCCCTATTTTAAAACCAGCTGATTAGCAACATTAATTCTATCTGCAACCCCAATTCCTCTTTGCCATGAAATCAAACGTATTCACAGGTTGCCAGGGTTAGGACATGGACATCTCTAGAGGGACCGTTATTTTGCCTAGTATAGTAGATACAATTGCAGCTATGTCCTCCAAACTTCATGATCCTGGTATGGAGCTCTGAAACTGGGAAGACATTTTCAGAGGGATTGTCTTCTGACCATTCCTCATAGCTTCCTCCATCCATAATGTATCTGCTAAGGTTCTAGCCCCAAAGGCAGATCAAGACTCAGGTCCCACGGATGTAAGCTAGAGTAGCATCCTCCACGATATGGAAAGAGCTCTGAGGACTCCAAGACAAACCTCTGTGGAATTCATTGATATACAAGCTCTCTGAACTGCTCTGCCCATTACCAACTACTTACTTAGCGAGTATTCTCCATGTCTTTGGTAAGTCATGCTGACTGATGGCATGGCATGCTCAAAGCTCTCTGCTAGTTGGCTAATCTCTGATATATACTAACACTGTCACCTCCACCAGTTGAGTTGAATGCTCAGCCATGTCAGTTGTGATTGTATCCAAACCTATTTATGCCAGTTGTATGTACTCTTGCCATTATGTAATTTAATAAAATGTCACATAAACCAATGAAAGATGAACACGAAGAGAGTTGTTTTTATGTACACTAAACTGAACACCTTGAAAAGACTTAATTAAGATGAGTCACAGAAAAGAGACAGGAAAATTGCATGATGAAACAACAGTAAAAGATAGAAAATAAAATTATAAAAAGCAAAATTGGAACAAATAGTGGGTAACTAGCAATGGTTAAGAAACTGGAAGAACTGGAGCACAGTGGAAACCAGGTTGGGGAGAGCCTTGATTATTTATGCCAGCTATGTCAGTGTCCTAACCTTGCTTTTACTGGCTGAAGAATGGGTGAGTTAGGTATGACCAATGTGAATATCATATGTAATCCACCTGAGGATGGATTTGAAGGTGTTTGGGAAGTGCCGTATAGAAATGAGAATTATTCATAAAAGACAAAAGGTAAGCAAGACAGCTCTTTCTCCTCAGTCATAGCAGGTGCCATTCCTTCAAATGCCTCCCTGCCCGGAGCTAGCAGGAGTCTGGGAATCTCCATTCTGTCTGAAAAGCCTGTTACCCTGTGTGATCCCAAGTTGACAGATAGGGCCATTGAGATAATGCTTCCTGAAAAACTACTTCCAGAAAATCCTGGCTTTTAGCTTGGTAACCTTTCCCCCTCCAGAGACAGCTATTAATTCGAGGAATATTGAAGAGCATCTGATGCCAGATCTTCTGAGCTGATCCTCCTTCCTGCTCACCAGTGTGTCCAAAGAAGATAGATACTTTCTATAGTCATCACTGTAAAGGCTTCATGGGCCTTGTGCCCATATGCTAGAAGAAGTCAGATCTGGGTCCTAAATGAATTCAAGACGCTGAAAGGCTCATCAGGAGCCCGAGCTACACATTTTCCCAACTCTGCCTTTCCTTTTGGTGTGGGTCTTCTATCAGTTGGAACACAGAGTCTGCTGCTCCAGCAGAAAGAGTTGGTTCACTGAACAAGCTAGAACCCTGGCATGTATGAACAAAGCCATGCAAAGGAGAATCCATTGCCCTGTTTACCACCCTGGGCCCTAAAGGAACAAGAAATATAACAGAAACAATAGGTGTAATTGCATGTTGATGGGTTAAGAAATGGATATTTAAATATAATTTTGACATCAGAAAATAAACCAATAGATTTAAACTAAAATGTCATGATTGAAGGTTGAAAGGAAAAAGAAGTAGTATAAGTGATGGAAATTTCTCAAATACTAAGCAAATCACAAATGATACTTTAAGTTGGTAAATCATATCTAGGTTACTACTAGAAGAACTGAAAATAGAAATAGTTAAAAGAAGGTGTGGGACAGAAAAGAAACAATGTAACCTTTTTCTTTTCATCGCATACTCACATTTTTGATTTGTAAATAGTGAAAGGTCTAGAAAAATACACATTAAACTTTTTAAAATGTATCCAACCTGAGATGGAAGAATGGAAAGTGACAGAGAGTACTTTTACTTGTTGCTTTTCCTAACCTATATATTGTTCCCCATGAACATGTGTTCCTGTTAAACTTAAAATGTAAGAATTAACAATAAATTATTTTACATTTATAAAGTGGAATATTGTAAAACTGTTTAAAAGAATGGTGCTGTAGAAGACTAATGGCATGGAAAACGTTCACAGCATGTGACCCCACTTGATAAGAAGAGCTTTAAATCCCATTCACACATTCACACATGAATCCCTGACCACATTCAAACCAAGCTAGTTCAGGGCTTAAAATATTTATAAATTATTTGTTTTATTAATTATAAAACTTTTTGAAACTTGCTGGAAATAATTGAGTCAAAATAGAAACATAAAAATAAATATTTCCTATTCCTTAGGGATATCATTCTATTGTATGATCTTTTTACTTTTTCCATAAATATATAGATTTTCACTCTCTATATACATACACATATATATATACATATACACATTCTATTTTCTTAAGTAAAGATGGTATAACTCCTACTATTCTACAAGAATAAGAGAAGTGGTTCAAAAATGTGTGTATCATTCTTGCACTAGGGCTTTGTTAGTTTTTTTTTTTTTATATCCTTCTAAGGGTTTAATATGAACTGCTTTAGTGAGGATAGTGTTTAAAATATTATCAAAATTATAAAGACTTCTGAATTTAAAATGAGTTCAAAGACAATTAGCTTTAAAAGCCCAAAAGGCTTTATTGAGTTAACAGTGAGTTTAAAAAATGAAATTAATTTTAAACCATTGATTTTTTTTTCTAAAAGAGTAAGACATTTAAATTGTTTTTTAATTCAGTGTTTCAACTCAAAAAACTGAAATTAACTCAATTTAGCATTTCTATAGTGTTTGCAAATAGGTGTTAATATTCATATGGCCTAAACCCCACAGCATGCCAGCGTCTTGGACTGCTTTCTCTTCCCAGAAATCTGGATTGTGCAGTCAGCACTGGTGCCCTGGACAGCATTGCTTGGGAGATCAGTGATAGGTTGGGAATACCATTTACTTCTGGAGACTACCAAAGCCCCATTCAGTGTGATGGTTCTATGCCACACATCCTGGAAAGAATGACATTGATGTTTTAGGCTAACCTCTATTCTAGGGGAATCTAGTCTTGGAAAAACTTCATCCACCAGCTCTAATTGTTGCCATGCCCTGGAAGCTTGCTTCCTTGATCACGGTATCAGCTCTCACCTTCTGTTGTGCTTACTCTTGATGAAGACTCACTTCACTGAGAACTGGAGAAACAAGTCACCTCCTCTGAGTCCAGCGGCCCCTCCAGGACACTGCCACATGGCAGTCTTACATGAGAAGCAGAAGAGCAACACTGCTAAATGAGGCCACAAAGAAGGGAACCCAGGCACCTGACTGAGTCGTGTGATTCATGAAAGAATATTTTGAACCTCTCAAACATATCCATCAGTGAATCAGATTTTTGTGTTCCAACTCAAGGGCTCCCCAGGAAATCATTAGATGACCTAGAGAAAACGATCTAGCCCCTATGTGACTCAATTTCCTAAATGTAAAATGGGGATAATAAATAATACTTGTGTAATATAGTATTTTTAAAATGCTATCTTGACCCGGTTTTAGGCCCTGGCTAGAGGCTGGTAAGTTCCCCTTCTTGAGCAGCCAATTAAGTCCATACCCACAACCGTCATCCTTTGTTGGACTCTCACACTTCAGGCCTCTACACAGGCTCCCTAACTATACCAGGGCCAGGTGCCAGAGAGCCAGGAGCAGTTCTTATGCCTTAGAGCCTGATGAAGTTATTCAAACTAGCCAACAATAGGCCTGCTTGCAGCAGAAGCCATGAGAAAGTCGCCTGTTCACAGTTCCCCTCCCTCTCTCTGCCCTGTGACCCTTGTGCTTCTCTCCCCCGAACGGCCCTGCCCGGCATGCTCTGTTCTCCCCCAGGGAAGTGTGAGATAATAAAACTGTAAGACTCTTTCTTGTTTCTTTTTCTTGATTTGTGTCTGGGTTCACTATACCTCAACCAAGGAAATATGTCTAAAACAGCCTGCCCTGCATAACTCACAGATTGATTTGGAGACATATTAAGATAATGGATACAAAAGTCCTTTGGGGCCAGATACAAAGGCTCACGCCTGTAATCCCAGCACTTTGGGAGGCCGAGGCAGGCGGATTACATGATGTCAGGAGTTCGAGACCAGCCGGGGCAACATGGCGAAACCCAGTCTCTACTAAAAATACAAAAATTAGCCGGGCATGGTGGCACATGCCTGTAGTCCCAGCTAATCGGGAGACTGATGCAGGAGAATCACTTGAATCTAGGAGGTGGAGGTTGCAGTGAGTCGAGATGGTGCCACTGTACTCCAGCTTGGGCGACAGAGTGAGACTCCGTCTCAAAAAAAAAAAAAAAAAAAGTCCTTTGAACAGTCAGAGAGATTACAGACTTACAATATAGTCTGAGATGCCCTCTTCAGCAGCAGAGAGAAGCATGGCCTCAGGTGATGGACACACACTGTGGTACACGTCACTAGCACTCATCAACACCAAGTTCTCACCTTCCTGGACACCCTGGAGACTACATCTCCTAGATCCCTTGAACCTGGGCAGAGCCAAGTAATAATTTCTGAGCAAAGGCTGTGAGAGAAACTGATAATGTTTCACTTCCAGGTTGAGGCAAGAAAAACCCTGAAAGACACTCTAGTTCTCCCTTCACTTAGCAGTGGGCATGAAAATCAAGCATGGAGATTGCAGGACCACAAGTTCCAACAGCCTGGATAATTGATTCAAAGCATACTTGGGAGCCCCTGAGGGTTAATCTGACCTCTAGAAAAATTTTGCTTGGGTGAGAAATAGACTATAAGTCACTGAAATTTGGGGGTACTTTTTTCATAGCATAAGCTCAATCTAGCCTCTACAATACACAAACACATGCAATATTAAAATGCCCTGCAAAGCTTCTGACTTAAAGATACAAACAAATAGAACAGTTAGAACACAATTTTCCATATATAGTCTAAGTTACTAGAACCAGATAGCCAGGTGTTAAGTTGAAGAATTTTCCAAAGTAATAGCTTTAATATGGGTAGGAGAAGAAGGGAGATTGAGAATCCTAGTAGAGACTTTTCTGTGTTAAACAAATTAATGCTTCATCGTTCAAATCTACACAAATATCTAAAGTAAATCACTGGAGGATTTTTATCACTGGCCATAAGGAAGTAACTGGGAGCAGACTTGCCCTCCCTCTGCAAACAATTAGAAAACTACAAAAATATGAAACAATGTATATAATTGGACAATAAGAAGCATAGGATGGTGATCATGCAGAGAAAGGAAACAGAACAAAGACAGCTCTAGAATTGCCCCACTTGCTTCCTAGGAGCACTTTCCGGACTACAACTTAAGAAGGCAGAACACAAACAAAATGTGGTTCTCTGTGAGTTGAAGAGTTAGTGATCCGAATTTTGGGAGGCTGAAGCAGCCAAAATTTGGTCAAAGTTTCATAAAGGAGAGAGGTGTGCAGGAAAAAAAAAGATCCAGAAATCAGCATCGGGCCTCCTTGAGTCTTTTGCAGAATATTAAGCTGCGCATTCATGGAGGAATATCACACGGAGACAAGAGAGCTGTTCCATGCTGAGGCATGGAACGACTCACCATCTGTAAACTGAATAAATCTTAAAGCTTATATGAGACTGACAGGCATTTTACTCCCAAGAAGCCAGAGTTGCAAGATTTCACTGAACCTTCAGGGAACTCACTAGAGACCAGAAAAAGACCACAACTTAGAAATAAAGCTAAACTAGTCCTAGAGTAAATGTTATTCTATGCTTGCTCAAAAAAGAAAAAGAAAAAAAAAAGGAAAAGGAAAGAAAGCCTCAAAAAAAACTTTAACAAAAATCATCAAAAGGATCAAGCCATTCTGTAAGCAATTTAACCCATTTATGCTGGAGGTTGCAAATTTTTTTTGTGAAAAATCAGACCTTGGCAATGACCTTGAGCAGGATATAAATAATTCCCACAAGCTCAGCATTCCAATAATGGAACACTAGGCATAAATGGGTTAATTGCTTGCCAAAAACAAACAAAAAAAATCTTAACACTCTTTAAAGAAAGAAATAAAATCCATACATTCAACAATATAATAAACAATATCAGACATCCAATCAAATATCACTGGACAAAATATGGGGAAGCAAATGTGTATGACCTAAAATCAGAAGAAAAATTAATCAATAAAACATGCCCAGAAATCACAGAGAAAATAGAACTAGTCGAAGGAGAAATATACCTAGAAGGAGGCAGAAAACAGAAGATATAAAAAGAAACAAAAGTAATTCTACTGCTGAAAAATAGAATACCTAAAAAGAAAAACTCCCTACATGGGCTTTATAGCAGATTAGACACTGAGTAAGAAAAGCTTTGTGAATGTGAAGATATTGGAATTTTAAATCTACCAATATAACCACGAAGAGAAAAATCCTCCCAAAATAAATAAATAAATAAGCAGAACCTCAGTGATCTGTGTACAACGACAATAAGAGACAAACTATGGGAATGGAAAAATATTTGAGGACCTAATGCCCCAAATTATCCAAATTTGATGAAAACTACCAACCTACAGGGCGCTAAGAAGCTCAATGAAACCAACCAATATAAACACAAAGTAATACCAAACACATCGTAGTATACTAGCTCTAAAGCAGTGATAGAGAAAATATTCAAAAACTATTAGAGTAAAAAGATACACTAGACATAAAAGAGCAAATGTAAAAATAAACACAGATTGGCCGGGCGTGGTGGCTCAAGCCTGTAATCCCAGCACTTTGGGAGGCCGAGGCAGGTGGATCACAAGGTCAGGAGTTCAAGACCAGCCTGGCCAATATGGTGAAACCTGTCTCTACTAAAAATACAAAAATTAGCCAGGTGTGGTGGCATGCACCTGTAATCCCAGATACCCAGGAGGCTGAGGCAGGAGAATTGCTTGAACCCAGGAGGCAGAGGTTGCAGTGAGCCAAGATCACGCCAGTGCACTCCAGCCTGGGTGACAGAGCAAGACTCTTTCTCAAAAAAAACAATGAGTAAATAAACACAGATTTCAGGTATTAAAAAAAAAAAAAAAGAAACACAAATAAGAAGAAAATGGAATAATAGCTTTGAAGAGCTCAAAAAAAGTCCACCTAGAATTATATATTCAGTGAAAATACCGATAAAAATAAAAGTAGAATAAAGATATATTCAGACTAACAAAAGCTGAATCTATTGTTAGTAGAAAACTTTACTGCAAAAAGCAGTAAAGGAACTTCTTCTGTAAGCTGACCTTGACATAAAGGAAAGAAAACCAACAGAAATGGTAAATATATAAATAATTGTAAAAGATTGAATCTCATGTTTCCAATGAAATGTTTAAAGGCAAAAGTAAAATGTATTGTAGGACTTATAATAAAGGTGGAAAAAGAAATTATGGCAATGATTGCACCAATAACAGGAGGGAGCAAATGAGAGCAAACTGTTTTAAAACTCGTCTAGGCAAAGTGGTATAATTAAAAGTAGACTGTGAAGTGTTAAATATGCACATTTTAAGTGCTGGAGGAATGGTTTTCAAACTTTGGGATACATCAGATTCACCGAGACAGCTTAATGAGACAGATGGCTGGGTCATATCAACAGAGTTTTTGATTCAGTAAGACTGGAAATGGGCCTATGCCAAGGCTAGAGAAACAAGGCTGATAAGAGAATATATCAGCTAATATTGATGGACTATGAACCACACTTTGAGAATCACCACCCAAGAGCAACCTCCAGTAGCAGAGATAAAATGGAATATTTCACAATACTACATACAAATGAACAAAGAAGAGGAAGAAGAAAAGACCAAAGAAAACATGAACAAATAGAAAACAGAAGGAAGAATAGTAGACTTAACAAAGTGTTAAGTGATAACTACATTAAATATACTCAAATTAAAAGACAGAGATTTCCAGAACAGATAACAAAGCTAAGCCCAATTGTGTGCTCCACAAAAACTCATTTTAAATATGAAGATTCAGATAGATTAAATGTAAAAATAGACAAATAATAAAATAGATTAAAAGAAAGAAGATGGATTAAAAGAAAAAGGTGGACAAATCACAGTAATATGAAAATTTTCGTATTTTTATATTATGATAAGAAAATTGACCATTCTTGAGCATTCATTATCATAAATGTGTAAGCATCTAACAACAGCTTCCAAATACAAAAGCTGACAGAACAAAAGTAAAAATAGAAAACTCTACTACTATATCTTGTTTATACTATATCATAAGAATATAGAAGACTTGAATAACACTCTCAAACTACTTGACCAAAATGACATTCATAGCATATTATATTCAATAATGACAAAGTACACACTATTTTCAAATACACATGGAACAGCAACCAAAATATACTATATTCTGGGTGGTACAACAAGTCTCAATAAATGTAAGATAATTTAAATTACATACACTATATTCTCTGACTAAAATAGAATTAAACTATAAATAACAAAAACAAAAAATATACAAATATTTGGAATTTAATGCATTTCTAAATATTTCATGGTTCAAAGTATAAAGCAAAAAGAAATTTAGAAAATATTTTGAACTACATAGTAATAGAAGAACAATTTATCAAAATTTGTGAGGTACGATTAAAGTAGTAGAGTAAAATTTGTAGTTTAAATGCTACCTTAGAAAAGCAAAAATGCCTGAAATCAAGAATCCAAATTTCCCCTTTGAGTCTAAATAAATGAACAAATTAAACCCAAAGTTAGAAAAAGATAGGAAGTAATATATATAGGAACAGAAATCAATGAATTAGAAAACAAAGAATGGAGAAATACTAGTGAAATTAAAAACTGGAAATTTAAAAACCTCAATAAAATTTGTTAAAAGTAGAAGATATAAATTACCAATATCAGAAATTAATGATGGGATATTACTATTATTATAATAGTCATTTCAGAAGAAGAGAATACTATGAACAATTACATGGCTATAAATTTGACAACTTAGATTAAATGGGCAAATTTTTTTTGAAAAATACAAATTAGCAAAACAGCACAAGAAACGGAAAATCTAATAGCAATAATCCATTAAAATAAATCAATTTGTGATTTAAAGCCTTCTAATAAAGAAGACTGCTGACAGATACATATGTATTCACTAGTGAAGTCTATTAAACACTTAAGAAAGTAATAATTTCTTTTTTTTTTTTTTTTTTTTGAGATGGAGTCTCGCTCTGTCGCCAGGCTGGAGCGCAGTGGCATGATGATCTCAGCTCACTGCCAACTAGAAAATGGTGATTTCACACCCACTATAGGTCAGACCTTTACCATGCATTTTACATCCATTATCCCACTTAATGTATTAAGCCACCCTATAAAATAATTGTTAATTTCATCGTTTTAAGGATGGAAAAGCTGAGGATCAGAGAAATGACCCGTCTGTAAACACAGAACTAGAAGAAGGCACAGGGCCCATCAATATCTCTGTCTCGATCCTATAGCATCCTAATCACAGGTATCTCTGCTGCCTCGTACACTAGGCTATATATATAAAGGAGTCATATGTTATTTTGCTTTGCACTCATGTGGATACGTACACTAGGCTATATATATAAAGGAGTCATACGTTATTCTTCTTTGCACTCATGTGGATAGCACAGTCCCTGTTATGGAGTTGCTATTTCTTTTTTTCCAGTCTTTGTGTGGTATAGAACTATCAGAGACAGACAGGTGAGGGCTGTGGTAGTCAAATAGGGCTTTTTTTTTTTTTTTTTTTTTTCCTGAGACAGAGTCTCTCTCTGTCACCAGGTTGGAGTGCAGTGGCACGATCTCAGCTCACTGCAACCTCCGACTCTCTGGTTCAAGCAATTCTCCTGCCTCAGCCTCCCGAGTAGCTGGGATTACAGGCATGCACAGCCATGCCCGGCTAATTTTGTATTTTTAGTAGAGACGGGGTTTTACCATGTTAGCCAGGATGGTCTTGATCTCCTGACCTCGTGATCCACCCTCCTCGGCCTCCCAAAGTGCTGGGATTACAGGCGTGAGCCACCACACCTGGCCGAAAGTAATAATTTCTACACCAAGACTCTTTCAAATGAGAAGATGTAAGTATGTTTTGTATTTCATGTTATGAGGTTGTCATTAATGTCATACCAAAACTAGACAAAGATATATAAGTAAAGCAAATTGAAGACCAATATATTTTATAATACAGAAACAAAGTTTCTTAACAAAATGTTAGCACATAAGATAATACAATACATGAAAGTGTAGGCCAGGTGCAGTGGCTCATGCCTGTAATCCCAGTGGTTTGAGAAGCCGAAATGGGAGGATTACTTGAGGCCAGGAGTTGCAGGCCAGCCTGGGCAACAGAGTGAAGCCCCATCTCTACACAAAAATAAAAAACATTAGCTGGGCATGGTGGTGCACACCTGTAGTCCTAGCTACTCAGGAGGCTCAGATGGGAGCATTGCCTGAGCTTAGGAATTTGAGGCTGCAGTGAGTTGAGATCATGCCACTGCATTAGAGCCTGGGCCACCCTCTAAAATAATTAAGTAATTAATTAATTTAATATACATAGGAAGTCCTAATAAATCTACATAAAAGCTTTTAGAACTAAGAATGAGTTTAATAGAGTTACAGGAAACAAGATCAATATACAAAAATCAATTATGTACTAAAACAATTGGAAATTGAATTTTTTAAAATATCATTTAGAATACATCAAAAATGAAATACTCTGGAATAAAATTAACAAAATACGTGCAAGCTTTGTTTACTTGAAACTGTAAAATTTGGCTTTAAAAAATTAAGGAAGACTAAAATAATGGGTACACATTACATGTTTATGAATGGAAGACTCATAATGTTAATTCTCTCCAAATTGATCTATCAATTTCAACTGAACCTAAATTCTCAGCAGAATGCTTTAAGAAAGTGACTTGTTTCCCAAGTATATATGAAAATTTAAGAAATATAGAATACTTAAAACAATTTTAGAAAAAATAAAAACAGAACAATTATACAACCTAATTTCAAGATTTACTATAAACTTATAGTAAGACATAGAAATAGACACATAGATCAATAAGAAAGAATTTCAAGCCTAAAATACACACACACTATATATACATATAGTCAACTAATTTTTAGATGCCAAGGTAATTCAATTGGGAAATAATTATTTTCCCAGCAAATGATGCTGGAACAACCAAATATCCATATGGAAAAATACAAAGCCCAACCAGTTACCTCACACCTTAACTATCACACATAAAAGCTAATGTGAAGTGATCATGGGCTTAAGTATAAAAACTTAAAACTCTGAAACTTTGGAAGAAAGCATAGGAAAAAATCTTTGTGACTTTAGATTGCTTAGATAGAATCAAAAAACTTATTGTTTTGATAGGACCAAAGATTTCTTAGATAAGGCAAAAAAAGTAAACACTGATAATTTGGATTTCATCCAAATTTCAAACATTTGTTCTTCAAAATGCGCGAATCAAATAGCGCTAATAGGCTATGTTCATATATTTTCAATACATACATCTGACAAATGATTTCTATCCAGAATATATACCATACTCTTACGATTCAACAATATGAAGACAAACAATGCAATTTTTTAAAAGGGCAACACATTTAAACAGAAATATAAAAGAGAGAGAAGTAAACCTGAAAAGATGCTTAAAACCCTTAGTCATAAGGAAATGTAAATTAAAACTAATACATATATTAGAATGGCCAACACCTTAAAAGACTGGTAATGCCAAGCGTTGGTCAAGATATGAAGCAACTTGCATTCTCATACATTGCTGGTAGAAGTATACCACTTTGAAAAACAATTTGTTGGTTTCCTATAAAGTTATGCATACTTTTACCATATTAACAAGTAGTACTACTCCTAGATATTTACCCAAGAGAAATGAAAACATATGTTCTCTTATGGAAACATCTGACCTGAAATACATTGAAAACCACCCCAATATCTATCAACAGGTGAATGGATAAACAAATGTATATTGTGTTGTATTTATACAATGGATAGTATTTTACCCCACTTCTATAAAAAGAACAAACTACTGATACATGCAACAAAACAGATTTATCTCAAAAACATATTCTGACAAAGAAAAAAAAGCCAGTCACAAAGAATAGGTATTGTATGGTTCCATTTATTTAAATTCCTATCATAATGCAAATCAAATCTAAAATCACATAAAGCAGATCAATGATTGCCTGGGCCAAATATGTGGTAGTAGAGATTGACTACAAACAAACAGGAAGGAGCTACTGCAAACAGAAAGGAACATTCTGGAGTGATAGAAATCTCTATCTTTGTTGTGCTTGTGGTTAATGAGCATAGATATTTATCCAAACTCATTGAATTGTATACTTAAAATGAGTTAATTTAAGTGTATGTAAATACCCTGGTATACTTTTACTTTAAAAAAGGTAACCAATTAAAGGTATAGGCTGTTTGTCAATATGAAAATATGAAATGTACTTGAATCTCTATTTTATGGTAGAAATACAGACAAAAGGACTCTAGCTCAAGTTCAGATGCCTACATCCATCTCTGGTTAATATAACAATAGAAGGAAGTTAGCATGTCTGCCCAGCTGTCCCTTCAAAGGACCATCTGAAACAGAAATATCAAAGGACATCTGTGAAACAAAATTTGAGCATCTTATTTTACCTAATTAACCCAGGCTTTGTGGAAGCAACAAAGAACATGAAGAAAGATTTCTCTTCTTCCACTGGTACCACTCAACTCCTTCAATAAAGACAAACAAAAGAAATGAAAGGAGAAGATAGAGGGGAAACCCAAGTTCGAATCCCAGCTCCTCTACTTACCAGCCACGTGACTTTGGTAAGGTTCTTACCTCTTTCAGACTTGCTCTTCACATTTGTGAAATGAAGACAGTGTGTAACTCACATTGTTTGGAAATATTAATGAAATAATACATGGAAAAATACTTGGCAATATTTGAAATGTAATATGCTTATAGTAAGTGGTAGTTATGGAAAAAGAGGTGGCCACATAATTCATTTTTTCTTATATCAATATGTGTTACTGGGAATTCCTGGGATTTCTAAAAAGTTTACTGTATTTTTCAAACATTTCAACAGTGCCTTTAAAGTACTATAACTTTTGCTATCAGAATATACTCAAAATAAAATATTTATATATCATATAATATATATATTTGTAAAAAATATATTTACAAATTAAAATAATACACAGAAGTTATATATTGTATTGCATTTTTTCTTTTATCTTTTGTTTCTTCTATAGAAAAACTTTTAGAAATGCAAAAAGGATGCATGGATGATGAATTTCAAGTACTTAGGGAAACCAGAGGGAACAGGTCAGGCAGTTTAAATTTAGTCTGGATTTCCTTTCTCCTGCAAAGTTTGGAAGGAAACGAGGTAACCACTTTAAATATGAGAAAGTAGGAAATTCTTATCTGCCCTTGTGGATGATGAGACGTGAAGAGATCCATATCTATAAGTCTTAAATAAATATAATGGCTGACCATCCTCAATGTTTAAATCCTACAAATCATCCAGGTTTATTCAAAGATGTATTTACAGTTGCTAAACTTATTGAAATCTGTTCAGCTGTTGACAGGCAACAAGCAGATGGAGTTTAGGATTAGTGAATTCAAATCATCAAGCTCACGAATTGAAAGAATCGACTCAGTGTAAGAAAAGACTGCATTGCTGAAGATAAAATGAAAGAGTAACCTTTACACACCAGCATTTTACTGCTGGAAAGTTCCAAACACTGATGAAAACAGTTGGTTGTCCATCTGGAAAAAGTACTTAAAATTAGCTTAAATGCAGACTGCTATTTGAAGGTAACGATTGTTTTGCGTAGATGTCCATTCTGTTCACATGTAGTCCTAACACTGGAATCTCAGATACCTTGATGCTGAGATATCTTCTGTAACTCTAAAAGCTACCAGTGAATGACTTTAAAATTGAAACAGTCTGCAGGTAGTAACTAATGTCAGCAATTTATGATGAATTCAGCCTATGAAAATGCCAGATGTTAGGCTATAAGATATATATGACTGCATTTAACAAGTTTTTCTTTTCACATAATAATTCTAGGCTTTTAATAAAGTCTTCTAATCAATAGTAAACTGCCTGACCAAAGCTATTAGCCTTAGCATTAGAAGGCTAAAAGGTAATACTATCCCAATTATATCATAGCTGCTAAGATGGCATAGAAGCAATTAGCCTGGAAATATGGTTAAATTACTTAAGTGTTACCTTGAATAAACCAGGAAGCAGACACACCAATTTCCAGAATTAAAGTCACAATGAACCCACATAGCAAGTCTATAGCTGCTTAGTAAGTCCTTTTGGATATCTTGTTCTGCCCCGGGTATATGAAAGTTCATAATCCTTTCCACAGACTTACTGGCCAGAAGGGTTATATCAAAGTAGTATAGTCTCTTCTCTAGCTACTAGAGTTCCTTGTACATTCATTAGCCAGGCACTCACTTTAGGAAAGGTAAGGCAGACACGTGCCCACCAAAACATCCATAGGCTCCTCTACTTTTCATAGCTTCCCTTGCTTTGTGTTGCAGCCATGTAACTGGGTTCTGGACAATGGAATAGGAGTGGAAGTGATAAACCACATGGCCTGACTGTGAACATCTCCTCATGATGGGCTCCTCCAGCCCTTTCCCTTCTGTGGTAATGCCAGGCAATTAGACAGAAGCAGCCTAAGACTCAGAACTCACTTCTTGGAGGAAAGACATGGGAGAAATACCCAAGACACAATGAGTAGCATTGCCTCAGAAAAATATCAACATCCTCCTTTTTGTTGTTATTGTTAAGCCACTGGGATTTCAGGATGTACTTGTTATTGCAGCATAGCCCACCATATCCTGACAAATACAGAGCTAATAAAAGTGTCTTTCTGTTCTACAATAACACAGCAGGCAATACTTTTGGTTCCTTTTTATGCCTGATGCATTCCTGAGAGACTTCTGTTATAAAAGAGAACCTTGCTTAATATTCAACCAACAAGAGGATTTGGATGTGTAAGAGTAATTTCAGCCACTTTCAAAAATTAAGAATAATATAACCTTGCATTTGTGCAGCATTTTCAGCCTTTTTCATAACGCTTTCAGTACAAATCTTTACAACAGCCCTAGAACGTTTTTGTGGATTTTTTAAGTATGTAAAATTCCAATTTTATGATTGAACAAAGTGTGTGACAGCAGGATTTTAAGTGAGGTGTCCAGTCACCCAGCTAGTCAGCAGCAGAGATGAGACAGGCTGCTGCCTTTAGTCCTTTTGTAATCAAGAAATGCTGCACGCTTGCAGGCCTGTTGCAGATTTTTACAAGCTTCACTTTTAATAACCTTCCTCATTGCATTCCTGACTTATTACCTCCCTGGATCCCAGCGCTCTTATTTATATTCAGACTCATTCCGGCTCCATATCCCGACGTTTATGCTGTGTTTACTGTGTTGTCTCCTAACTAGAGTCCATTATCTGCTGAAACAAGAAGGACGTTCACGAATAAAACACATCTTGCCTGTAGCTGCCAGACTAGTGGAGCCCATCACAGGGGGCAAAGATGTATCTCTGCTGCCAGGGGTAACCTGCTGTTTTCATATAAGCATCCCCTTTGGTGAAGAACTGGCTCCAACACTAGGAGAGGGACTAGAAGGCTTACTCTAGGGAAGCATGCCGAGCAACTTTACAAAGCCTCACTTCCAGGCAAGCTTTGCCCCCTGGCCAGGAACCAGGCCTCAGGGTAGATAACCCCATTCACCACTGCTGAGTAGACCCTGCATCAGAGAGGTTGCACGTGTAGTCTTGACTTAAACAGAAGAAAGACTTTAGGAAGGTGGCTGGAAAACACTTGACCTAAATGGACTACTTGGAATCTTTAACACAGCTCAAAGCCAGGCTCAAAAGCTGTCCACCACTTCCTACCTGGATTGTGATCTTGCCCATTTAAAATAAAATAGCAGGGGAGAGGGCTTGCTTAGGCAGTGCAGGGGGGCCTGGAGAAGGAGCTGCACACCAGGGGATCAGCTCTCACCAAGAGTCATAGGACAGGTTGAGGCCCTCCTTCCTCCTTTCTGCCAGGTATTTCTGGCCATGACAGAAGATGGTGAAACATGGGCTGAAATGTAGGGATAATGTACACCCTTTTGGCTATGAAGTCAGACAATCACCTTTTCAAAATCTGGCCCAGTACTTAATAGCTGGGTGAGCTGGGTTAAGTTATTTAACCTCTCTATGACTTGGTTTTCTCGTATGTAAAATAGGGAATAAGAATGACTACCTTTGCTGAGTTAAGGATTAGCTATTATATATACAAATGCATATATATATAAATGTATATATATACACACATACACATAGAATGCTTAGTGCAGCAGAAGGCCTGGCCTATGATTGGCCCTCAGTAATAAAATGATTCTGTGCTCTTGGTCTGATTTCTCCCTCCCTACCCCTGTGAAAACTCCCAATCCCTGAAACAAACAGGCCTTCTTTGAATGGATCTGAAGCCTAGCACAGTGCCCAGCATTTAGTAAGCACTCAATATATATTCATTGAACTGAATTGAACTAAATTGTACCCAGAATTTTATATACATAGGTGATTTCCTTGGTTTATTTTACTGGTTTCTATATTCCTCTAAAAAATAAGTTTGACTTAGCCCTGCCTAGAGCTTGAGTATCTTCGCTGCATTTATGAAGTGTTCACAATTTTTTGTGTATGAGTCATTTTATATATGATCCTGTGTTTTCATATAAATATATTAATACTATGGTGCAATTTAAAAAAAAGACCAAAATGGATATTACTATCTAAAGCCATGCACTTTGGACTGGTATTCTGAAAAAAAGTGGGAGAGACTTCCAAAAAGTCTTTAGTGTTATAGCTCTATGTGGAAGAAGGTTGATAGTTTAATGCTGCAGAATATGTCATCTATGCCTGTCATGGGATCTTAAGATTAGAAGGGAACTTAGAGGTCATCTAGTTCTACCCCTACCCAGGCAACGTCTGCCAGCTCCTATCAGGAAACCTATGAACAGCTCCGGCTCCACAGGCTCTGGCACCAACCCCAAGTCAACCGCCAGGCCCCGGGGCAGCAGGTGCCCACAGCTAAGGGGGAGCTAATGGATCTGTGCAGACGGTGTTGACCACTGCTCATGAAGGAGTCCTGCCGGGTCCTCTTCATCTTACAAAATTAAACAGGAATGTTTGAGGTTTATTGAATCAGACGTACTCTTAGGGCATAGAGCCCTAGAGTGTTACATATGCACATATGTACCTCCAAAGACTGAGATGCAGTTATACCCACAGGGAGGGGACTCAGTGGGCACAAAGCACAAATCACAATGTAGTTCACAGACAACCTTCTATTCCTGGAGGTCACATACAGTCATGCATTGCTTAACGACAGGGATCTGTTCTGAGAAATGCATCCTTAGGAAATTTCATCGTTTATGTGAATGTCATAGAGTGTACTTACACAAACCTAAGTGGTATAGCCTACTATATGCCTAGGCTATATGGTGTAGCCTATCACTCCTAGGCTACAAATTTGGACAGCATGTCACTATGTTAAATACAGTGAGCGATTGTAACACAGTGGCAAGTATTTGCATATCTAAACACAGAAAAGTTACAGTAAAAATACGGTAATAACAATTAAAAAACAGCACATCTGTATAGGGCACTTAACTATAAATGGAGCTTACAGAACTCAGAGTTCCTCTGGGTAAGTCAGTGAGTGAGTGATGAATGTGGAGGCCTAGGACACAACTGTATACCACTTTAGACTTTCTAAACACCATATATATATAAGGCTACACTTAAGTTATACAAATTGTTTTCTTTAATACTAAATTAACCTTAGCTTTTGTAAATATGTAATTTTTTTACTTTAGAGACTTTTTACTATTTTAAAACTTTTGGACTCTTTTGTAATAACACTTGCTTAAAACATGAACACATTGTAGAGCTGTACAAAAATATTTTCTGGGCTGGGCACAGTGGCTCATGCCTGTATTCCCAGCACTTTAGTAGGCCGAGGCAGGTGGATCACCTGAGATCAGGAGTTTGAGACCAGCCTGGCCAACATGGGGAAACCCCATCTCTACTAAAACCACAAAAATTAGCCGGGCGTGTTGGCGCACGCCGATAGTCACAGCTACTTGGGAGGCTGAGGCAGGAGAATCACTTGAACCCTGGAGGTGGAGGTTGCAGTGAGCTGAGATCATGCCACTACATTCCAGCCTGGGCAACAGAGAGACTCCATCTCCCAAAAAAAAAAAAAAAATTCTTTCTTTATATCCTTATTATATAAGTTTTATATATTTATTTATTTATTTATTTATTTTACTTTGTAAACTTTTTTGTTAAAAACTAAGACACAAGGCCAGGCGCGGTGGCTCACACCTGTAATCCCAGCACTTTGGGAGGCCGAGGCGGGTGGATCACGAGGTCAGGGGATCGAGACCATCCTGGCTAACACAGTGAAACCCCATCTCTACTAAAAATACAAAAAATTAGCCGGGCGAGGTAGCGGGGCCTGTAGTCCCAGCTACTCGGGAGGCTGAGGCAGGAGAATGGCGTGAACCCCGGGGGGCGGAGCCTGCAGTGAGCCGAGATCGCGCCACTGCACTCCAGCCTGGGCGACAGAGCGAGACTCCGTCTCAAAAAAAAAAAAAAAAAAAACTAAGACACAAACACTCATTAGCCCAGGCCTATACAGGATCAGGATCACCATTATCACTGTCTTCCACCTCCATGTCTTGTCCCATTGGAAGGACTTCAGGGTTAATAACCCACACAAAGCTTTCATCTCCAATGATAACAATGCCTTCTTCTGGAATATTTCCTGAAGGACCTGCCTCAGCTGTTTTACAGTTATTTTTTATATATAGAAGCAGGAGTACACTCTACATAGTGATAAAATATATAATGTAGCAAATAAATAACCCAGTAATACAGTCATTTATTATTAAGTATTATGTATTGTATGTAATTGTATGTGCTATACTTTATAAGACTGGCAGTGCAATAGGTTCGTTTACACCAGCATCACCACAAACACACAAGCAATGCATTGTTCTACAATGTTCCCACAGCTAAGGTATCACTAGGCGATAGGAATTTTTCAGTACATTTTCAGCCTATGGACCACTGTAGTATATGCAGTCTGTCATTGATCATAACTTTGTTATACAGCGCATGACTGCCTTCCTTTTTTAAGAACATCTGCTTTGATTATTAACCTAGACTTCATGTACTGCATACTTCTGTTGTGAAAATGTGTCTTCAGGCAGGCATTTGTAGTACCTGCTTTATATCTTTGGGAGCCAGTGGGTGGAAGTGGCATTAAATCCTGCAAATGTAGGTAGTCGAAGGCCTGGTCCAGCCAGTGACCCAGTAAGTACATTAGTCTGTCCCTTGAATGGCTAAGATTTAGCTTCTTCCTCAGAAGAACTAGACTTGGGCCATGGCTGGTCCCTTATCTGCATGACTAAAGGTCTCATTTACATTTTAAATCACTGTTGTGTCATCGGGTTCCATTTTGATAGCTGTGAAGTACATTGAAAATTTTTCCTCTGAACAGTAAATAGTTTACTTCTCAAACAGCATAATTTTTGAAGCTTTTATTCCATGCCATGACTGTGTTTAAGAAAGCTGTCAAGTTTTGGAATTTCGTGGAGAAATGTGAAGTGGCCTTTGTAAACTGCAGAGGAACCTTCTGAGGCCTGACATTTTGAAGGTGATGGCTCTATTTACATATACATTGTCCTTCCAAGGAAATGCTGTAGGTTTAGATTTGGGATTACTGTAGGAGGCCTTATCTTTCTTATGTTCATGTATGCATTCATTCATTCACTCACTCACTCATTCATTTTTTCATTCCAAAGAGTGTATGGTTTCGTCTTTGATATCTGGGGAGGTCAGGCTCCTGTCCTGTCATGGAGGAAAGAAACAGAAGTCAGGAGCCATGGCTGCCTAAAGTCGAGTCCAGGTACCCAAGTAAATAAGCAACATATATTCTTAGCAATTATGAGTATCTGGACTCCTTCCAGAGGCCGCCTCAAGAAAACCAACTTGCATTTCTCCCCATAGTAAGACTTTGGCTTTGACCTCTGCCTGTTGGCTCCTTGGCTTGAGTTGCTGAAGCTAGCAAAGCTCTAGGCAATTTGTTCTCGCCCTTGGCTCGAGAAATAGCGCTAACAAGGGGAGGAGGCTGGGAGAGGAGGGAACAGGGTTTCTGCAAGCACCACTTCTAGAAAGAAAAAGCTAACCCTGCACCCAGTACCTCCCATGGCTGCCAATCCAGAGCTGCTGTAGCGACTTTAACTACCATGGTCTGAGCTGTAAGGACATCACAGACCCTGGGCTAAGAGCATAGAGGTGGCAACCTATGGGACACTCACACCCACCCTGAGAGGCAAATAGCAGTGTCCTGTTTTTGCAGATGATAAAACCGAGGACACAAAGGGCACAGAGGTCACCCAAGTCCCTCTCGATTAACAGGTGTCTGGGTTGGGATACAAAGCAATTGCTGGGCCACAATACCTCCCTCAGCCAGCTACCATATTAGAAAGAAGCCGGGAATGGGAGCCAGGGCATGCCTGAAATTGTTACCCTTTTGTAATTTCAGCGGGGTTAGAGTATGTATTGCTTGTTTCCCCATTTCACTTCCACATGGTGATCATGAGTAAAGGTCATCGGGCCTAGGGCTTATGGTGCCTCCCACACTGAATAACCCCAAGGGATATAATGGAGCTAGAGGAAGTAAAAATAAAAATTAAAGACAAAGACTGAGTTAGTGGATCACATTTAAAGAAAAAAGCAGTGTTGGACCTGGATTTAGGAAAAACCTCCAGGATGCAGCTATCACAAAGGTTCTATGTTTGGCCACAAATGCCTGAAAGTTTGATTTAAGCACAGAGGACCTCAGGTGAAAAGAGTGAGTAGCTTAAACCTAAATATAAGTTATGGATTTGTTCATTGTTTTCCCTCATTTGACCTACTTCAGTTCCTCTTAATCATGAAGTATACATAGCCACGCACCCAAGAATGGGAATATACATTGAAACGGGGAAGAAAGCCTCTGGCCATTGTTCATTCAGTTCATTCAGCGAGTACACAGATCCTGAGTCCCATTTCCATGCTAGGGGCAGGCTCAGCGCCCTCAAGGATCTACAGAGAATCTTGTATCTGAGAAGACAGAACTCCAAAGCAGAGGCGTGCAGAGGGCCAAAGGCTGTCACACACGGGACAGAAGGCACCGTCTTCAATGTCCACCATCTTTGATCCTTGGTCACTGAAGAAGAGGCTCACATTTTCAACTCAGCTATGCAGATCTCGCAGGTAGGAGTGGAGAAAACCAGAATGCCAGTGCGCTGCATGAAGCAAGAGCCAGGAAGAGAGGCTCAAAGCCCGCACCTTTCTGTGACTAGTAGAAAGCAGCACACAGGGCCATTTCCAACAGGCCACAGGTCCACAGATGGAATAAGGTTCATACTCTCAAAATAATCTGGTCATAGATGTCCCAGGAGATTATGGTAACTATTACTTTTATGTATTTTTTAGTCACATAGAGTGACAATGGAGAGATGAGATCTGCCAAAGGATTCATCAGGACAACAATATTTAGTGTGGGTACTGAAAACTGAGAAAGAGCGTATGGAGAAAGGAAAGGAAGGTATTCCAAGTGGAGAAAATCATGTTTGCAAAGGTCAAGGCGGTTCCCCCTCCTGACACTGGGGGATGGGGGAGCTCCTTCCCTCAGGGCCACCACAGATAAAGAAAGATTCCACTAGGGGTTGGTACCTCAAGATGTGTTTCCAACAATAATACTGACAATAAAATAGATGTGATTATTTTTCTTTTGCACAGGATTGTATCTCAACCACCTAGTTCCCACAGCTGGAATGTATATCATTTATTTTTAAAATGTTTCTGAAGCACCTGTTATATTCCTGGCCCTATGTAGGTAAGTACCAATGTGGGAAGGTGAGAACCTGGGGTGGGGGTGACAGACCTGATGTTCTGCGTCATAGGGCATCAAGCTAAGGGTCCAGTCATGTAGGTAGGAGGCACTCAACATCTCTGCAAACAAGGCAGTGGGTAATAATGTGAAGTGATTAAAACAAACCAAATTCTGTAAGATAGCAGAAGTTAGGAGGGTGGGGGCGCCCTTTCTTTGCCAAATGACTTGACAGATGAAGGAAGGAAGAGGGTGTTGCACATTCCAAGATGAGAATATGTTATGTGGCAATGCAAGGAGTCAGAAGTGTGGTGCAAATTTGGGAATGATGAGAATTACAAAGTGTAGATGAGGGACTGGCAGAAAAGAGAGATTAGAGCTAGATTCCAGAAGGCCTTAAAAATCAGGCTAAGCTTAACTTTTAGTAGACAAAGGGGAGCCACTGAATTTTCTTGAGGAAAGCAGTGACAAGATTAATCTGCTGGAGAGGACAGGATAAACTGGTGTGCAAAGAACAGAGAGGCAGAATGTCCAGGTCAACCACCATCACCTGAGTGTGAGATGATGAGAGCTGGACCAGGGATCTGCTTGTTCACATGGAGATTAGCGATACAAATTGAGAGATGATTAGTGGTGGTGATTTACACTGTGTGAAATATCTAATGAGATAAAATGTGTGAAGAAGGATGTAATGTTATGGGAAAGGTGCTGAGGTGTAACAAGGAAATGGATGTTCTTAACAATGTTTACAATACTAAGCATGACTTAAGCGAGTTAGGGAGAGTGTTATTTTAGAAGGAGTAGGGAAAGCACTCACAAGTGACACACACAACAACCTTGCCACCATAGCAAAGGCACCTCCAGGGGAGGTCAACACTCACTGCTTCTCTTTCCCCGGACCTAACTAGTCATCTCCTTTCCTCCACACCTCCCAAGATATAGGGCCAAAGAAAAGCAATTCCTTTCTGAGTAGCCTGTGGGATGCCATTTAATGTATAGTTCATTTGGGGCAGTCAGGCCAGCAGGAGATGAAATATCAACTCATCCCAAACCTGTCCTTGAACATGAAAAAAGGATTTGTCAGCTACACAGGATTCTATGTGAAAGCAGGCAGGGAATGTTTTTAGATGGAGGAATGGAGAATAGTGGAATAGAACCACCTGGAACCACATCTGCTTCCTGGTGCCTCACTGTCAATATCATAGCTATTTGGAGCCCTGCTGATGACCTCAGGGATGAGAGATGACGTCCATGCTCCAGAAAAAGTGTCTTGAAAAACCAGAAGGTATTTATGAACATGTTGCAGTTCTGTTCTTTCTGTTGTAAGAAAAGTAGTTTCCACTCTCCATAATTCCTTATCTTCCTCCTTCCAGAAGGCTAACTTCCCAAAAACAATAACAAACAGATGTTAAGTGCTCAGAGGAAGACTGCAGGAGCCTCTTCCTCTTCAAGCTGAGCACGCACAAAGACTTCTGCTGAATACTTGAGGTCTCTGAGCTGGCATGGAATTAAACTCTTGCCTAGATTTTCAGCAGGAGCAGCAGACAGCTGTCTTGCAGAGGGCCCTTCTGCTGCAGACCCAGAGCCTTGCAGTAGCTTCCTGACCTCTTGCAAGTCATGGAACTTTATTGACTTCAGGATGATTCATTAAAAATATTCTGAAATCAATAAACCTAGGGTTCCAAATAGTCAAATAATAGAGAAGGTTTTCTAAGTGGTCCTTTGCTCTGTGCTGCCAGTGATAATGAGGCATCGGTCTTCAAATGGTTTCTCAATCACCTGGCAGGGTTTGTCTGCAGAATCCCCATCGTAAATAAGTGCGGCCTCCCTGAAGACAAAACTGGAAAGCAAAGCTTTAAAAGATGACATCAGGAGCCACAAATTCTTGGAGGATTGTGCTTCTTTACAGATTATTGATATTTAAATCCCACAGTTACATACTGGGCCACCTCAATTAATGACTGCCTTTGTTAACTTGTTTAGGCATGGGTCTTCTTTAAGCTAAGACAGATTCAATTACCCCTGAGACGCACTGTTCCAAAATCGATGAGGTCCTACAACTTATATTTATATGCAACTCAGTGAGAGAGAGTTTTGAATCCTGGTGGCCAGGGATATAATATTAGCTACCTTCAACTCATTAATTAATTATTGCTATTAAATAAGTGCCTACTGTCTGCAGTATGCTAATCTAAGTGCTGGAGAATTTTTTTAAAAACAGAACATAGCCAATCTTCGTCTCCAAGTTGAGTACAGTCTCACAGTGTATAGGAATCATACAAGTAAAATAGAGCTGTGACCCAAAAGCAATAGGAGAGGGAATTTTGAAATAATAATTAATAATAATGTATATATATCATATAGTATGAGCCAAGCACTAGTCTAAGTAATTTAGATATGGTTATTTTATTAATCTTCTCAATAGCCCTATGAGGTTGGTGCGATATTTATTTTCATTTTAAAGATCAGAAAACTTAGGCTCATGGAATTTAAGCTATTTACCTGAGGTCATAAAACTACTAAGTGGCAGAGCTGAGGTTTGAACTAGATTTCTACAGTCTAGCTCTGAATGTCACTCTCCAAATGATTGTGTTATTGGAGTTTGGAGCCAGTCAACTGCAGTGTGGTGCAGAATGTTCAGGAAGGCTCCATGTAAGAATTAAGTTGGTCTTGAAAGAGGAGCTGGTTGACTGGGCATAGTGGCTCACACCTGTTATCCCAGCACTCTGGGAGGTCGAGGCCGGTGGATCTCCTGAGGTCAGGAGTTCGAGACCAGTGTGGCAAAACCCCGTCTCTACTAAAAATACAAAAATTAGCCAGGCGTGGTGGTGGATGCCTGTAATCCCAGCTACTTGGGAGGCTGAGGCAGAGACAATTGCTTGAACCCAGGAGGCGGAGGTTGCAGTGAGCGGAGATTGGGCCCCTGCACTCCAGCCTGGGTGACAGAGCGAGACACCATCTCACAATTAAAAAAAAAAAAAAAAAAAACAGAGGAGCTAGGATTTAGAAGCGTGAAGAGTGGGAGAACAGACATTCTAGATAGAATAGACTGTTTGGGCCAAGTTAGAGTGGCAGGAATAACTGTGGAGGAGAGAATGAATGGTACAGTCGCCAAGTTTATCATCCCTGGAGCCAGACATCACAACTTCAAAACCTGTGATGAGCATTTACTTGCTTCTATGACTTTGGACAAGTTTCCTAACCTCTGTTGTCCTAGGTTGCTTATTGTAAAGTGGACATAAAAAACAATGCATAAGAGCAAATTGTTTGTAAACCATTTAGAACAGACCCTGACACAGTAAGTGTCACAAGAGGCATTTTCAAGTGAATAAATGTAAGTTAGGGGCATTGAGAGACAGGCCTGGCTAAAAGGCTAAATGGTATTCAACTGCTTGCCAGTATGTGTCTTTCTTATTGTCTTCCCCCTCAAGGGCCACCTCCTTGGCCTCCTAGTGTAGTTTTTGCTTGGGAATAGAATTAGAGACAGCTCCCGGTCAAATTCCATTATATAGGACACCAGTGCAATTGACACCAAAATAACCACAAACATTTACCCAGATCTTTCATGTGCAAAGCACTTTTAGGTTTAGTCAGTAATTTAGAAAAAAAGAAAGTGCAGTTAGAATGCCTCCAAGCGGAACCAGTTGCATTGAAAGCCTGCGGCTATATCAAACCCATGGCTGGCTGCAGTACGGTGCAGAAGTGGCTGGTTCCGAAGCTCGGAGCACTCCTGGGAGTGAAAGAATGAGTCAAAGGGGTCAAAAGCCCTTACTAGCTCATTAATACTATCTGGATTTAAAAGAGAGATTCCCAAATCCCAGGAGGTGGCTCACTGCTTGGAACAAAACCTGATGCATTAACATCCTAGAATTCCAAAATGATCCCTGAAGCTCTGCAGTTATGCTGCTGGAATGTGATTTATACAGAAGCTAGTGCTGCCAAGACCCAGTGTGGGGAGGCAGCCTAGCAAGGCAATAATTGAGAATGCAATGACCTTATCTAGTTTCGAACCTTTCAATTAAATAGGAGAAGCACATCTCAAGAGTTCTGGGCCCCCAGCCCCGGGCCCCTGCTGACCTCTCTGTCACCATACGCCTATGGGTGGCAGACCTAACATGTTACCACATCAGATCTCACTCTGAGCAGCCCAGCAGGTTTTGGAAAGTGTCACAGAGGCCATCTACAGAGCCTACTCTCTGTGAACTTGCTGCCTTCGACCTGAGGATGAACCCAGGCAATGATCCTAGATCCAGCTCAAAAGCAGTTTCAGTTTATTTTGGGAGGTTATACTTTGGGGGATGAGATGGGAACATGCTGGTGAAAGGAGAGAAAGAATTCACCTGATGCAACAAGAATGCTCATATGCACTGTTTAAAAATGTTTTACCAACTTAAGAGTATGATGAGTTAGGCTTTTTCCTTATGCTATCGCACAGCATCCCATGGCTACTACTATAGCCCAGAGAGTATTAGAGAAGAAATGGATCAAGATCATGCTCTCTGGAGTCAGAGAGACCATGGTCTGCATTCATAGCTCTATGGAATTAGAAAATTGTACTATTAGTGTTCCCACATCTGGGAGCATGTTCAGTTAGAAATCAAATGACTCTTATTTCCAATGTGAGAGTCAATCATTTTATTCATTCTGAGATGCTAATTGCCATAACAAGAAACCCCCAACTCTCAGTGGCTTAGCACAATAGAAGTTTCCTTCTTACTGTTGTCACCCTGTCTAATGTGGGTTGGCAGCAGGGGGTTGGAGGGCGGGTGTGTGGTTCTACTCCACACAGTCACTAAGGGATCCAGGCTTCTTGGATGTAGCAGGTCTCTCCAGCTCCAAGGACCCTGACATTTTATACTAGTTCCCTCTACAACTGACAGACAAGCTAAAAGGAAAGTGTTAAGATCCAGGTGTGGAAAGGACTTACATCACTCCCACCCATGTTTCTACTGTCACATGGCCCCATCTAGAAAGGGACTACATTTCTGATATGGTTTGGCTGTGTCCCCACCCAAATCTCACCTTGAATTATAATGATCCCCACATGTCAAGGGCAAGGCCAGGTGGAGATTATTGAATCATGGGGGTGGTTTCCCCCATACCGTTCTCGTGATTTTATAATGGGGAGTTCCCCTGCACACGCTATCTTTTTCTTGCCTGCCTCATGTAAGACATGACGTTGCCCCTCCTTTGCCTTCCATCATAATTGTGAGACCTCCCTAGCCATGTGGAACTGTGAGTCAATTAAACCTCTTTCCTTTATAAATTACCCAGTTGGGAATGTCTTTATTAACAGCGTGAGAAGGGAATAACACAATTTCCGTGAAGGGAGGGTAGGCAAATGTAGTCTATCTCTGCACGCATGAGGAAAGGGAATGAATGGGGCTTGGTGTACATTTATGTTGCCTGCCACAGTTAGGGAGGCTTCATGGAGGGAGTAATATCTAAGCTCCCTGAGAACATACGTCCGTGCAGCCTGCCCTGTCTCTCAAGTTGGAAGTAACCGCAGAGGTCATTTTAGTTGCTGTCTCAGAGTTGAGCTAAGCACGGAGTTGAGTGCGCAGTAATTGCTTGGAAAACATTTGGTGGTTGATCTGAAATGGGATCTACAGAAAAACATTGCAGACAGGGAGGCTGAGGGTGGAGGCTGGGCCCAGCATCCAAAGCTAGAGTGCTGATGCTGAGTGGGTGTCAGAGGGACATTGGGAGGATTCCTACAAATTAACCCTCATGGTTGGGGGAAGGAAGGGAAGAGAATCTGTCCAGCACTTTGCAACTGTCATGTGCGTTAGAAGCACTTCCTATACAGTACAAATATCTAGACAACCCCTGTTAAACGTCATGTGTATTTGACAGGTACCTAATTTGGATTCACTAAATGGTACCTGAAATATGTAATCTGAAATACAAATAGATACTTGTTTACAATTACCCCATGGTTGCTTCTTTTACATGGAGTTAAAAGATTTCTAATCTTGCAGCTTAAAACAAAAATCCCAATAAAACATTTTCAGTGATAAATCTCTGTTGTTCCAGTGGGTTAGAGTCTTATGATGACAATGGCCTTGAGAGGTCATTTGATCCTTTTTCCATTTTCCTGGGGAGACTCCAGCTAATGATAAGGAGTACATGTCTTGTTTTAGCACCTCAGAAAAGGATAAAACATAGAATATCAGAGTCAGGAGAGCCCATGGCTGCTCTGTTCTGCTGAGACTCACCAAGTGCAGACCACTTGCCTATATCAGAGCTGGCAACAAGAACTTGCACCCCTGGCCCTGACTCCCGCTGTACTTGTCCTGCCTGAGACTCCGGCCCTCATTGTCAGCCTCCGTCCTCTGTGGCTTGGACTGCCATAACAAAATACCACAGACTGCATAGCTTAAGACACAAAAATGTATTTCTCATAGTTCCAGAGGTTAGAGTTTCAAGATCAAGGTGCCAGCCGGGTTGGTTTCTAGAGAGGCTTCTCTTCCCTCTTGCTTACAGCCTCTTCTTGCTGTGGCCTGTTCTCTGCGTGCTGGTACAGAGAGAAAGAACTCTGGTATCTCATCCTTTTCTTAGAAGGACGCCAGTCCTATCAGATTAGGGCTCACCCTATGACCTTATTTAACTATAATTACCTTAATTACCTCCTTAAAGGCTCTACCTCCAAATACAGTCATAGTGGGGGTTAGGCCTTAAAGCAATTTTGTTTGGGGACACAGTTCAGTTCACAACAGCCCCTCACTCCTAAGGACCACCCTAAATCCCCACGCCACCGTGCGGAGCTGGGTGCTGGCACATAGGGGCGTTCCTTTGTCTCAGGGCCCAGTCAGTGCCTGAGATCTGCGTGTTGCCTGTCCACGATCATCCCCTCCTCTGGTCCTCCCAAAGCTAATCACAAATGCCTAGGTGTGCCAAAACAGCCTTCCATGAGACATTGACAAATATTCTGGCTGAACATGCTTAGTGGCAGCCTGCGTCCTTGTCTTCTACCTTCTTCAAGGCTCTGACCCTAGAAAACAGGAACACAGTGGCTTCAGGGTTCTGAGTGTTGACCCTGCCTGGACCAAACACTTCCCATGGTCACATGGAACTATATGAATTAGATTTCTGTGTTCTGATCTTATTCGTCACCTGGTGGAGATCATTTAGTCATTCAACAGATTTTGCTGATTTTGACACATGCACTGCCTCATGAATAGCATGGCTCTTGTTTCTGCGGTGGGCAGAGAGCAAAAGCAAGGGAGGACACAGCCCCTGATCTCCCTGAGCAGTGTGAAGCCTCCTAACAGACAGTGCAGGAATCATTGTCGCATTTCCTTTTAGATCAAGCCAGGACTGCTGGGTGGAAGGCAGAGAAGGGAGTGCTCAGAACGAATGCCCGTGTTCTGTTTCCTGCTCACCATCCATTCTGTGTCATTCTGGGTAAGTGATAACCCCTGCGCGAGTCTCAGCCCCCGATGTATTGACTGGGAGGGTGGTCTAAATGGAAGTTCCAGCCTCCCTCAGATCTGGGGTGCCACAGAAGACCAACCTGCTGTCGCATCCCTTTTCCTTTCCTTTCTGCCCTGGGATGTCCCAGAGTAGCCAATTCCAAGCGCTTCGTGCACTCTGCAGAGATTCCTGGGAAGTTTTGTAATCACACTAATTCCCTAGATTTCCCTGGATAGAACTGTGGCCCACGCACCTTTTCGTCAAGGGCCTGTCTCATTTTCCAGGTCCAAGAAGATGAATGTTCTGCATTTTCACCAAGGGAATGGAGTATTTCTTCCAGGAAGTTAATAAGATTGTATATTTTAGCCTCAGGGCACCAGAGAAGGGAAAGAAAAATTCCCTGAAACAACATGTCTCTTGTTTAATAAAGTTTTATTATTATTATATATGAGTGTGTGGGAACGAGAAATCTATATCCGTTCTTTGCCGTCACAGCTTTATTGGTTCTGAGCTTAAAAAATCAGTTTGGTGACTAACAGAATAAAGAACTGACTGACCGGTGATTTTTAATATTTGGCTCTTCCTGGAAGCAATCTAACAGAGTAAGAGCTTATTGGAAAGTGTAGATGATGTGGAAATGAGTTACGCAGAGAGGTGGGCTGTCTGGGCTGGCACCTTGGGAAGGACAGGCAGATATGACAGGGGCCTCTGAGTGCTGGCAGGGCCAGCTCAGTGCAGCACACTGGCCTTGGGGAGCAAAATGAAGCTGGCAGTTTTGCTTTTTACTGACTCCTATCTCTGTTTTAAATTCTCCAGCTGAGAGCATCATTCTGTCTTCCTCCCATGGTGAAATACCTTCCTTCAGACAGGCCCCCCCCCCCCCCCCCCGACTTCTACCTTCGTGTGTGTGTGTGCGCGCGTATGTGTGCATGCACCTGTGTCTGTGTGCATTGAGCCATGGTCCCCCATCCCCTGGGGCTTGTAGTCTCAGCTGGGTTCTCTCTGCAGGAATAGTAAGCCCTGCTTCCTGCTTGGAGCTGGGCAAGGGGTCTAAACAACCTTAGCTTATCCCTAGGACTCCATAGCCTCCTACACCACAGGTTGACAATGACAGTTTTCTCTGGTCTAGAGATGGTGGTTAATGCCTTTTTTAGGAAACATCAAAATCTGATTCTGGAACCTCCACTCTGGGGTCAGGCTGTCTCACCTTAATTTCCTGAGCTTCTTTGTTAGGAGTCACAGCAACTGACTTTGAAAACCTTGAACTAGATGAAACGTAAAATATTTTGAAATTAGCTGTTCCAGAGTAAAGTAGCAGATATGATTTTCCTTAGATGTTAAAGTCAGCAACCATATTCCCAGGAGACCATGATGACCAATGGGGTGGGTTGGAGAGTGTGCAGTGTTGAGATGATAGAAGACACGGGGTAGAGGAACAGAATTTGTGTAGGATCAGCACCAGGGCTCGAGCTATGAGGTAGAACAGTGTGTCTCTGCTATCTCCAGCGTTCCCCTGGTGCTGTAGAGCATCTTCCCAGATCTCAGATGCCAGGGTCCCTGTGAACCATTGGTCCTTGCCCTCTGCACATCTTATTTCAGCACATGATAGGTGTAATGATTGATGAGACATATAAGGCAACCCACACAGGCCTCAAGGGAATACGCTTCTAATAACTCTATTATAAACATCAATTATAGAAGATGGATACTGATTTGGATAAAGGAGATCATGTAGCAAAAGCAGCCACTCTCTCTGCCTCAGCCCAAGGCTAGGGAGGATGGGCTTTATCTGGTCCCTGCATAGCTGAGTCAGCTATATATAGCCTTGCTGCTTTTTTTCTCCAGCAGAAGAGAGTGAGAAACAAGCAACTTAAAACCCCAGAAATGCTAACTGGAGTCAACAGACGCTTACTTGGAACTAGAGGCTGTTCTTCCTGCCTGGATCTCAGAGATTCAGGTTCTACTGCCCAGAAAGAGAGCAAGTATTAGGTTAGCGACATTCTAAGTTTCTTTCAGGGAAACGTTGACCTGTATTACTTTTGGTAACAACATGCAGGAACGCATCACAGTTCAGCAGGTTGAAGTGACTGTCACAACCACTCTGTTGGGTAAAGGATTTGGGTCAAGGTTTTGGATTGACCTTCTAAAGGGTGGCCTCCTTACCATCTAACACCTTCCTTCCAGACTGAGTTTCCTGTGGGGGCACCAATGAGGTGAGCGACAGTGCCATGGAGGTAGCCTCATCCCTTTCTGCTTCCACTGCCCTCTGTCCTCTGCCTTAAGGCTGTGTGTCCTGGGGATAACTATTTAAAGCCCTGAGTCTTCTAATTTTTTTGCATTGAGTTTTCATTACACTTTAAACATTGCCACGGATGGAATTACTAAGCAGAGGCCTGATGGACATCCAGCCAGAACTCTCAGAACCCCAAAGGTCTTGACTCCGAGAGTTTGGAACCACTTGTCACTTGAATGATCTGTAGTTTTGTCTCTGATTAGTACAGAGTGATACCCTCAGTTTCTCTGGGGACCCTTCAGCCTTCTTCTTGGCCATGAGCATGTTTGACTTACTCTGCACTGTGTCTTAAAGGCAAGATTCAGGTCTAGAGGGCGGGAGGTTATGACTCCAAAGGACATGAGCAACTAAGAAGACAATTCTTTTTACAGGACCATCTTCACACAAAGGAAAGTCAACAGCTCCTTGCATGGATAACCAGAAAAAGCCTTTGGCCCATCAAACTTTCCCCCTGTGTTCTTAGTGCCCAGAATTATATTACTGGAACTTGACTCCTTTGGGATTGTAAGGCATTTTGGTCTTTCAAAGTTCTTTATTAAGATGCAAAGTCATTTAGCAAGGTTGAAAACTTATATTACCAATAAGAATTTGAAATCATTGGGGGCAGGAAAGATGACGTAAATGCTTCTTCTTATATATTAAATTCTTAGCTGCCCATGACTTTTAGAAAGTTAAGTCATTCTGCATAATCAAGGTACTCAGCTTGCTGAATGCTTATCTCTTCTAAGTCTAATTTGAGCAATATGAAATATTTTGGATGGAGATCTCATCTTAAATGTTTCCCTCTACCCTACTTTCTTAAATGTGCCTATCAAATGCAATGAAACATTTCCTTGATAACTCAAGGTCATTACGATGAACTCCCATGGCTGCCCTCTGCATTGATTCTCTGGAGGTCCATTTTGGTAGGTGGGGGTTGCTTGTAAACTGCAGTGGCAGTTCTTGCCTTTGTTTGTAGGCTTTGTATCTTCTCCCTCTCATTCAGGCTGCTTTCAGTCCCTTCTTGCTCGTGCCAAGGTATTTTCCTTAAGGATTCCTTTCTTCCTTCTAACCTATCCTTTCAGTTACCTATGGGTGAGAAATAAGATACCCAAGCTTTTGGGGGTCTGCATGAGAAACAAGAGAAGACAGGCTTTAAATAAGAATTTCTTCCATAGACAAAGCCAAAAATATTATTACAGAAAAAAATTGATTCTTACTACACAGGTATTTTTGCTTTTCTCTGGTTCTTATTTGGATAAGTGACATGGCAAGATATCCTCATGCGTGATCAAGAAGGTAAGTTGCTTTAGAAAGTTAGAGACAGCCATGTCCTCCCCTAAAGC
Source organism: Homo sapiens (assembly GCF_000001405.40). NCBI lineage: Eukaryota > Metazoa > Chordata > Mammalia > Primates > Hominidae > Homo > Homo sapiens. The sequence continues at coordinate 22,960,278 of NC_000002.12, forward strand.
ATAAGGGAGTGGGCAGCAGTTGGCAATCTCACTGCTCAATTTCTGCCCAGGGTGCAAGTTTCCTAAAAATAATGTCCTGTCCAAAGTGGGACAATTTTGAGAATGAAAGGGCACAATATCAATAATTACTTTAAGACAACAGGCATAGACTAGGACGTTCCTAGGTAAATCAGGACCTATGGTCTCTGTATTTCTAGGAAAAATTTTGGTAACATCAGCTGATAGATAGAACTAAAAATGCAGTGGTCTTCCGCAAGTTGTGATTTTAGTCATGGCAGTAGTCATAGACCCAGGGTGGACAACTTCTCCAGTTGCATTTAAGTTTAAGGTCATGAAGGTCATGAACTCTGGACAATGGCACAGGATGACTGACATCCCAACAAGGCTCAAACCAAGATTTTATGGTTTCTCTTATACTTTATATGCCTACTTTTCTGCCTCTAAATACCACTTAGTTTCTTGGGTTGACAAATGAAATGTGGATTATTTTTCTTGGAGTATCTGCTATAATAGTGTATGAGTCAGTGGTTTGCTTGGTATGAAGAGTTACAATCATTATATTGGACAATGTATGCAAAGCACTTGGTCTAATATCTGAAATATAGTAAGCACTCAAGTTTAGCTAAGGAAAACACATGTGCACTCATGAGAATACACACACACACACACACACACACACAGAAAAATAGATAATTCCACTTGAAAACTAAAGTACAGTCTGACAGTATGTATCAATATTTAAGATATCCTTTGGCCCAGATATCCAGCCTCTAAGACTTAGCCTTAAGGGTAAGCATTTTTATCACAATGTTATTTATAATAGTGAAAAATTAGAATAAGCCCAACTCCATCAACAGATTAGTTAAAAGAATAGCAGGACATCTAAAAACTAGAATGTGATATATAGCTACTAAAAATAACAAAGAAGAATTATAATTATTGATATAAAAAGTCAATGGCATCAAATTAAAATGAAACTTGCACAGTATTTATGGGGTGCTTTTTGTCAAAAGAATGAAAGAAAAGAAAAATCAAAAAATATCTTAAATATATATTCCAATGTATTTTTAGTTATTATCTTTAATTATGGGAAAGGGGGTAATCTTTACTTTCTTTTCTGAATGTTCTGAATTATACACATGCATACATATATACATTTCATAATCAGAATGAAGTTATACAGTTATTTAAAAATAACTCTTAGCTCAGATCCCAGCTCCTCTGAGAGGCGCTCCTTGGCTCTCCAGGCAGTGTTCAGTGATACAGCTCTTCTGTGCTCTAATTCCCTGTGCATATAACTTCTCTTGCATTTATCTCTCTGCATTATAGTTTTCCTTTTATATATCAGTCTCATCAACAAAAACATGTGAATTTGAGGGCAGAATCTTTGTCTCATTCACCTTTGATTTTCCCTTATATAGCACTTGACTTATAGTTTATGCTCAATAAATGTTTGCTGAATGAATAGCGGAGTAAATAAATGGGCCTCCCAGAGCTTTCATTAAAAGGCTCTTCTGTTGTGAATTAAATAAGTCTGCAGAGTCTAGTAAAATAGTAAGAATAGAGGTGATGCTCAACTAGCTCTTCATGATCTGGTTGTATTACCTGAGACACATAGACTGGGATCCCCTGAACAGGTGCCCCCAAGTACACAGAAAATGCTCAATATTTGTTTTGTTAACAAAAACAGTAAGGATTAAATGGATGACAATGAGCAGAAGAGATTATAAGGAGACCAGCTCCATCCTAAGCAGAGGATTTACTAACGGCTAGTACCAAGGCCTGAGAATTGCTCTGGTATCAGAAAACAGAGATGCAAGGAAGACTTAGAGATCACATAATCTACATTCCTCGTTTCACAGGTGAGAAGTCTATGGCCCAATGAGAGAGATAGTTTACCAAAAACATGGGGCAAGTTAGCAGCAAAATCTAGGTTACAACCCAGAGCTCTTCACTACCCAGCCTGGGGATGCTTTTTGCGAAGATGCCCCTTGCCTGAACCACAGCCTGAGGTTTCCGTTATTTCAGCATGCTCTGGTTTTCTAGTTGGATAAATAGAAGGTGAAATCAGGATGTTCCTATTCATCTCTGTTTGCCTTTTTTTTCCTTATTCCTTCCACTCTATATGCTGTTTGAACTGGACCCCTTCCCAGAGCAACTGCCCCTCTGTCAGCAATCTGCATGTGTCTAGAGACCTCGCTGCCCTGGGTGTTGAATCTCACCTACCAGGGTTTTGTTCTGTTAAATAAAAGCAAATCCTGCATCAGGCAACAAATACTTTCCAATTCTTGAATAATTGAAAGACTGGGCCCCAAGCCGCAGCAGGCTAAGAATTGATTAGAAATGGAGAAGTGGGGAGGCTAGGAATTGATTAGAAATGGAGAAGTGGGGAGCCAGCAGCCTGTATCACCCCTGTGGGTGTGGGGCACTCTACAGGGAAACCTCCTCCCTCAGGGACTGGGCATGGGCTCATGCTTATTTGTGGGACAGCAGCAAGAATTTTGCAAGGATTAGCTGCTCTATACCTTCATAGCAAGCATGTGTTTCTGCTACCAAATTAATCTATATGGTAAAAGCAATGAAAATGCAGATTGCTTATTCTCCATCCCCAAGCCTGTGATAACCGACCAAGGGAACAGAGTGTGACTCAAACAAAGAGCTTCTAATTTTCTCAGATGGAAAATTAGTGAGAAGTAGGCCCATTTCTCACCTTAAACATGAGGACCAAGAAAATACAAAGTTCATTTTGATGCTCTCCTTTTCCAGGTCAGATAAAGAATACAAAATGCATGTCACATTGACAGCATTTCCCATCCTGCTATGGACTCTCCAGTCTCCTTTATTTCTTGTAACAACTCCACGAGGCAGACAGGATAGAGGCCTCCTTCATCGGTGGGAAATTGGGGAGCAGGGCAGGAATTGGACCCAGGACTCTGGCCTCCCAACCAGACTTGTGTGATCCTCTGGGGTCAGCTGCTTCTAGTCAATACTGCAGCCACACCCATCCTTGCAAACTTCAAATAGGGTCATCTCACTTCTCTGTTTAAATCTATCTTTTGTCAGTTATTTCCCATTATCCTTGGCATACAGACCAAAATCCTGACGGGGTTTCTCCACAATCCAGTCTATCCTCTATTTGTCCTGTAGTGGTCTCCCCAGCGATTGTCATGGCCCCAACAACAGCAGCTTAGGTGTTCATTCTTGGTAGAAGTACCAAGTTCTGTAGCTCTGGTCTTTTCATGTGTGTCCACCAGGCCTGGAACATTTCTAGTGAGCACCTTCTCATCACTCAAGGTTCTAGTAGATGCAACTTCCTCTAGGAAGTTCTCTAATCCCCAAGGAGATGAGCACCCCATGATGCACACTGCGATGGCATGCTCTACTCCCCATTTATCTCCCTCATAATCGCTGCTCCAGCAACTCCTTCCCATCAGCCTGTGAGCTCCATTCTAGCCGGATCATGACTGTCAAGTTCATGTCTGTAAACCAGCACCTATTACAGTGTCTGGCTACCAGGAGGGCTTAGTAAAATGAACCATGGAATAAAAACCAAAAACAGAAACAGAATCAAAATTGTGCCACTAAAAGTGCTTACTATTTTTTCATTTGTGTTTTTGTTCCAATAAATATTCATTTCTTTTGTCCACTATGTGCCAGGAACTGCTCTAGGCACAGAAGATACAACGGTGAAAAATACCAGGCAAAAATCTTTGCACTCATAGAGGGCTTATGTTCTAGTTAAAGGAGACAGACAATGAAGAAAATTATCAAACAAAATGTACAGTTAGTTACATGGTGCCTGACATCATCGTAGGGGTGGTATAGGGAGGAACTAGGAGATGTTTAAACATAGGTGCTGACCACAGGTAGCTAGAATTAATTCTCATGCTACCTTAGAGGTCCCTGCTGTCTATATTCCACTAAATTTCTTTTTTACCCAAGTCCCCTAATGGTGTACATTTAATTAGCTTTCTATTTTAATGCTACTTTAGCTCATTCTGGGATGATATATGGGTCAGGCAT